>NC_000003.12:195668567-195819567 GCF_000001405.40 Homo sapiens | reverse complement strand
ATCACAAGTGTCCAAAAAAGTGCCGACATCCTGGACAGAGCAAGCTCATGTTTATGGACTTCTGACTGTAGAAGGAGGGTCAGAGCCGCCGATCAGAACACACCAGCTCTGCTTCCAGGTTCAGGAAATGATCCTGAACACAGAAGGCACTTTGGGTACAAAGCCTCTGATCCGGGCATTACCTGTAACAGGGACGCCGTGAATAACCCAGTGTCCAAGTTAGTTCAGTTATGGTGGCAGCCAATGCAGTATCACGTGGCCTTCAGAAATGTGTGAATGGAGTTTTATAATAATTGGGGAGACTTTTAGGTTTAAAGCTAGGTCATGGCCCGGCGCAGTGGCTCACGCCTGTAATCCCAGCACTTTGGGAGGCTGAGGCGGGCGGATCACAAGGTCAGGAGTTTGGGACCAGCCTGACCAACATGGTGAAACCCCGTCTCTACTGAAAATACAAAAATTAGCCAGGCATGGGGGCACGAGCCTATAATCCCAGCTACTCGGGAGGCTGAGGCAGGAGAATGGCGTGAACCCAGGAGGCGGAGGTTGCAGTGAGCCAAGATCGCACCACTGCACTCCAGCCTGGGTGACAGAGCGAGACTCTGTCTCAAAATAAATAAATAAATAATAAAAATGAATAAATAAATAAATAAATAAAGTTAGGTGGTAAAGAGGAGATCAAACTATATCTAGGATATGATAGATTTAAACTATGGATATGAGCTATGTATGAGAAACAAGCCAGAAATCTCTCAACGCGTTAATAGGGTTGTTCCTGGGTGGTGAAACATTGATGATGTTTTTCTTCTCTCTACTTTTAAATATTTTCATATCTCTGTGGACAGTGTGCATTACTTTATAATGAAAAAAGAAACCCAGTAAACTTCATTTTAAAAGATGGCTTTCGGCCCGGGTTGGGCTTTCTGTCAGAACCCCGCGTTGGAGAGCTTTGTGGGCCCACCCTCATTCAGTCCCCATGGTGGCCGCATGTACGTGTCCCCTGTGGCAGACGTTCCGCCTGGGAGCAGCGGTCTAACTGGGAGCCAGGAGTGTGCAAAGACAACCGAACAGACGTGGACGCTCGGCAGCAAGACAGAGAGGGCGCTGGAAACCCGGGCTCCGGGACACACCCTGCCGCTCACCGGCTGCGCCAACAAGGACCTCCCTTCTCTCTGGGCCCACACCTCCTCCACGGTAGAATGAGGGCTTCGGATGACATGGTCACCAGGGTCTCTTCCAGTTTTAAAATTATGTTAAGATCCTCTTATTCTTTCAAGCTTTACAAAGGGAAGCCCCACAAAAGGACACAGGTGGCAAATCCGGGGACCTGGATGCTGGGTCACCGACTTCATGTTCTTGCTGACTTCCTGGCCTCGGTTTTCTTCTCCTTAAGGCTGGGTGAATGGAATGAGTTTAGATCCCTGGACCTCCAGGCCCTCCTGTGCCCCGGGGTGGCCCTGCTTCACAGGGATGCCCGTAAGAAGACGTTGCATGCGTAAAAATCATGCCCTGCTCCACCACAGAGGTGAGATGAGACAGGAAATGAGCTAATTGGCGTGAGAATGCTTGGCACTTTTAGGGAAAGGAGAAACCGAATCCCAAGAGAATGACAGTGGCCTTTGTGTGACCCTAGTACCAGGGCCCCTGCTTTCGCCATGGCCTCAGATAGAGGCCACATACAGCAGGTGCTGGGCCCCCAGCCCACCCACCTCCCTGCTTTCACCATGGCCTCGGATAGAGACCACATACAGCAGGTGCCGGGGCCTCCAGCCCGCCCGCCTCCCTGCTGAACCATGGAATAAGGAGCTGCAGAGGAGGAAAGATTTTGGAGTCGTGCTGACCTGGGTCTGAATCCCAGCTCGGAGGGCCTGCTGCCACATCTGTACGTGGGCATCCTCTTTTACGTGAGTGTCTCGGGTCGGGTCCTCCCAGAAGCAAATGCTGAGTTGGTGGAAGGAATGTGAAGGCTATAGGGGAGTGGCACCTGCTTAAGGAGAAGGAGGCCGGGCTGGGCAGGAGGATGTGGCACCTGGTAAGGAGAAGGAGGCCGGGCCGGGCAGGAGGATGTGGCACCTGTGTAAGGAGAACGAGGCCGGGCCGGGCAGGAGGATGTGGCACCTGGTAAGAAGAAGGAGGCTGGGCCGGGCAGGAGGATGTGGCACCTGGTAAGGAGAAGGAGGCCGGGCTGGGCAGGAGGATGTGGCACCTTGTAAGGAGAAGGAGGCCGGGCCGGGCAGGAGGAAGTGGCATCTGTGTAAGGAGAAGGAGGCCAGGCCGGGCAGGAGGATGTGGCACCTGCGTAAGGAGAAGGAGGCCGGGCTGGGCAGGAGGATGTGGCACCTGGTAAGGAGAAGGAGGCCGGGCTGGGCAGGAGGATGTGGTACCTGGTAAGGAGAAGGAGGCCGGGCAGGAGGATGTGGCACCTGCATAAGGAGAAGGAGGCCGGGCCGGGCAGGAGGATGTGGCACCTGGTAAGGAGAAGGAGGCCGGGCAGGAGGATGTGGCACCCGGTAAGGAGAAGGAGGCCGGGCCGGGCAGAAGGATGTGGCACCTGGTAAGGAGAAGGAGGCCGGGCCGGGCAGGAGGATGTGGCATCTGTGTAAGGAGAAGGAGGCCGGGCCGGGCAGGAGGATGTGGCACCTGCGTAAGGAGAAGGAGGCCGGGCTGGGCAGGAGGATGTGGCACCTGGTAAGGAGAAGGAGGCCGGGCTGGGCAGGAGGATGTGGCACCTGGTAAGGAGAAGGAGGCCGGGCAGGAGGATGTGGCACCTGCGTAAGGAGAAGGAGGCCGGGCCGGGCAGGAGGATGTGGCACCTGGTAAGGAGAAGGGCGGAGGCCAGGCTGAGCAGGAGGATGTGGCACCTGGTAAGGAGAAGGGCGGAGGCCAGGCTGGGCAGGAGGATGTGGCACCTCGTAAGGAGAAGGGCGGAGGCCAGGCTGGGCAGGAGGATGTGGCACCTCGTAAGGAGAAGGGCGGAGGCCAGGCTGGGCAGGAGGATGTGGCACCTGGTAAGGAGAACGGCGGAGGCCAGGCTGAGCAGGAGGATGTGGCACCTTGTAAGGAGAAGGGCGGAGGCCAGGCTGAGCAGGAGGATGTGGCACCTGGTAAGGAGAAGGGCGGAGGCCAGGCTGGGCGGAGGATGTGGCACCTGGTAAGGAGAAGGAGGCCGGGCCGGGCAGGAGGATGTGGCATCTGCGTAAGGAGAAGGGCGGAGGCCGGGCTGAGCAGGAGGATGTGGCACCTGTGTAAGGAAAAGGAGGCCGGGCTGGGCAGGAGGATGTGGCACCTGTGTAAGGAGAAGGAGGCCGGGCTGGGCAGGAGGATGTGGCACCTGCGTAAGGAGAAGGAGGCCGGGCTGGGCAGGAGGATGTGGCACCTGCGTAAGGAGAAGGAGGCCGGGCTGGGCAGGAGGATGTGGCACCTGCGTAAGGAGAAGGAGGCCGGGCTGGGCAGGAGGATGTGGCACCTGCGTAAGGAGAAGGAGGCCGGGCTGGGCAGGAGGATGTGGCACCTGCGTAAGGAGAAGGAGGCCGGGCTGGGCAGGAGGATGTGGCACCTGCGTAGGGAGAAGGAGGCCGGGCTGGGCAGGAGGATGTGGCACCTGCGTAAGGAGAAGGAGGCCGGGCTGGGCAGGAGGATGTGGCACCTGCGTAAGGAGAAGGAGGCCGGGCTGGGCAGGAGGATGTGGCACCTGCGTAAGGAGAAGGAGGCCGGGCTGGGCAGGAGGATGTGGCACCTGCGTAAGGAGAAGGAGGCCGGGCTGGGCAGGAGGATGTGGCACCTGTGTAAGAAGAAGGAGGCCGGGCTGGGCAGGAGGATGTGGCACAGCTGACACAGCCACAAAGCTCCTGCCCATGGGGCGCTCTGAGGGGCAGACTGCCTGTTGGCGGAGTCTTGTGGGGTGGAAATGGTGAGGTCACTGTGATGCCACTTTGCTTAGTCATCGGCCACAGGGTCACCTGGAGAAGAGCATGAGCTCAGCATAAAAGCAAGGCCCACCCTGCAGGGGCCAGCAGCTGGGAGCTGTCCACTAACCACTATCCTTGCAGCTGGACAGCGAGGCCCCTCCAAAAGGCCGTCTCCACCTGCCACCGGGAAAGGACCCGGAGCGAAGGATGTCGTGGGCGGTCAGCCCAGGTGATTGCCCTTCTTTTGCTTTGGAGCCAGGCAGAACAGAGCTCAAATTCCAGCTTTGGGACAGTGTGTGGCCCAGAAGGCTGTAACTGCGGAGTTAACACTCTCCAGTTTCCCTAGATGGCCCGACCTGGCCGGTGACTCGGGGATGATGAAGCTCCTGGAGCCTCAGCGTGCTCACTTGAGAGGTAGGGCAGCGCTTTGTACTTCACAGGGCCATGGGGACAGGCTCAGGGCCTGGCACTCTAGTGACCGGCTTCATGCTGGGTCACTGACTAGGGAATCCACACACCTTTTTAGTCCAGACTGAGTAGGTAAATCAGACTTAATAAACATCCAGCTTCCTGCTCGAGATCAGCCTAGTTGTCCTAAGTCTGACAAGATTGAACTTTATTCACAGCACGAGGCATAAATGATATAAAGGTAAGCAATTTTAGGGGACCCAAAAAACTAGGGACTCCTACTTGGGTAGCTTAGAAGGGGAATCTCTCTTGGAGATCCTGGCTTTGCTGCCTCAAACCCAGCTGTCTCTTCAAGCCAAGTCTGGGAGAATCTCATGATCTTATCCTTGCTCCAATTTACTTACACCCCACATCCACACTAAGCTCTTCCTGCCTCCCGTGGAATATTAACTTACACCTGACTTCAGACTCCTGCCCCTATGCAGACCCAGCAGTATGCGGGCCTAGGAGGTTTTTCGGCCACAAGGAACTAGAGAAGCCACTCATTTTGTCCCCTCTCATTCACCCCATTCTGTCCCCATCGGATGCCTTGGGAGGAGAGAAGGAAGGACAAATGGGTGTCCCGTGACCCAACCCAGATGAAGACAGAGCCATTTATCACAGAGACCCAGACACATCCTAACTCTGGAAAATGGGCATATTGAGGGGAGCTGGAAAGCAGAAGGGAAACGGGCGTGGGCAGGGAAGAGGTGAACAGGAGTGCGCACGCCCAGTTCTCCAGGATCTCACGCTCCTAATCAGGATCCTATAAGACTCAAAGGGGACGCAGGAAAGACCTGGGCCTGGAAATTCACTTCCGGACTCCTCCTGTATCCTGGCTGGCCCTCGTTTGTGTCTCCCTCCAGGGATGATGCCCGGATGGAAGGAGGAGCCACGTTCCTCCACAGGTGTCCTCCACAACAGGTGTCCTCACAACAGGTGTCGTAACAACAGGTGTCCTCACAACAGGTGTCCTAATACTCCCGCAGCCCCTCAGCATCTACAGGCTCACTCCCACCCTACAACCTTTCAGATAGGTGTTATCCCCATTTTACAGGTGAACGAGGAAAACAGCTCGAAGAGGCTGTGACTTTGTGGTGACGCGGTGGCAGAGCTGGGATCAAGCCCAGGTTTGTAACGCCCTCCTGGAGTCTCGGCCGTCACAGCAGCTTCCGGAGAGCGCTGTGTGCCTCTGGCCTTCCTGGCATGGGAAAGAGGTCAGCTACCTGTGTTCGGTCAACAAGATGTCCAGCGCTTAGTTTGGTCTCACCTGGATGCTCCTTTCTCCTCTAGAGATGGAAAACTGTTGTCCTGAAAGCGTCACCAAACAAAACCTGTGGAAAGGTAATGGGGGGACCCACGAGCAAGAGCTGACAGAAAAATGACCACGGGCCGGGTGCAGTGGCTCACGCCTGTAATCCCAGCACTTTGGGAGGCCAAGGCGGGCGGATCATCTGAGTTCAGGGGTTCGAGACCAACCTGGCCAACATGGTGAAACCTCGTCCCTACTAAAAATACAAAAAAAATTAGCCGGGCGTGGTGGCAGGTGCCTGTAGTCCCAGCTACTAGGGAGGCTGAGGCAGGGGAATGGCGTGAACCCGGGAGGCGGAGCTTGCAGTGAGCTGAGATGGTGCCACTGCACTCCAGCCTGGGCGACAGAGCAAGACTCCATCTCAAAAAAAAAAAAAAGTGCAAAATGATCACGAAGGCCAAGCTGGGCCTTGGTGTCTGCGAATTCCCTGCAGTAGGTCCCTCCTGCTGCCCCGTCCAGGCGCCCACAGGATGCTCCACATGACTCTTTACCTTTATGATTTTCTTACCTCCAGGAAAGAACAGGGTCAGCTCGTCCACCCAGAGCTGGAGGGACTGTTGGGGGACCACGCCACTTCCCCACGGTATCCGCATTATTATGGCGTGGCCCAGGCTTTGGCCTGGGGCCATGAACAGACTTTCAGCTTCTAGAAGCAAGTGGTCACAGGGCCTCCGTGACCCTCGGAGACAGCGCCACAGCGTCGGTTGCCTACTCCTTGCTGGACAAGGCTGGCTCTGCTTGGGAATGCAGAAACCCTGAGTCCTTGTCCTGGGCCCCACAGTGTCTGAGCATCGAAGGTCCCTGCTCTGGGACGAGTCACCCCACAGACACCCCACATTCGGGAATCAAGTCTTGAGGAATCAGAAGCAGAGATTCACACTGTGGCAAAGAGGGGAGCGGAGGTATCCCCGTTTTCCTTTGCAGAGAGCTACACCAACTGCCCTCTTCGTCTTTACAACCCTACTTGGGGTCCCTTTCCCTCCTCGCTTGTGCCTGTGAGTTCCAAGAGGTGGAACTGGGGTGAGCAGAGCCCCCAGGTCTCCAGGAGCAGCTCCACCTCCTCACAGGTTACAGTCGCTTCCTCCTACCGAGGTTCTGCCTTCAACCCACTGCCCATGCCAGCTCCCTCAGGCCAGTCTCCCAGACTGTCCCTGGCTCCCTGCACCCTGGCTCCAGCTCCCTGCCCTGGAAAGAAGAAGTCCACCATCTGGTGAGGGTCTGCCACGCATCTGGGGTCTGCCATGCGTCTGCACTGAGGTTCTGCCACGAGTCTGCACTGAGGTTCTGCCATGCGTCTGGAGTCTGCCACGCGTCTGGGGTCTGCCACGCGTCTGGAGTCTGCCATGGGTCTGGGGTCTGCCATGTGTCTGGGATCTGCCGTGCGTCTGGGGTCTGCCACGCATCTGCACTGAGGTTCTGCCACGCGTCTGGGGTCTGCCACGCGTCTGGGGTCTGCCACGCGTCTGGGGTCTGCCACGCGCCTGCACTGAGCAGATATTCCAAGCACACCACCCCTTTCCAAAAGACGGCATACAGTGCATTTCTGTTCCTGCCCCTCACCCACATGGTTCCCCGCTTCCCAATTCCTTGGGGTCTGCTTAAGTCTCACTCTCTTTCCCCCATTCATACAGCCCCAAGGTCGCTCCCTCTGGGGCCCTTTCTTCCCCATTCTTCCCAGCAGCCCAAAGCTCTGGTGGGACAGGGGCAGCCCCTGGGGAGGGAGGAGAGGACCCAGGAACCCGGCTAGGAGGGTGGCCCACCCATTTCCAGTGTGACCTGTTCCCATTCCCCCATGTCTCCTCCCATCCCTCCCGCCACTCAGCTCAGGCTGATGAGAAGCAGAGCAACGGGTGTATCGGTGTTTTCTTTCCTGGTGGGGTAGTGGGGTGGGGCTGAGGAGAGAAAAGGGTGATTAGCGTGGGGCCCCGCCCTCTTTTGTCCTCTTCCCAGGTTCCCTGGCCCCTTCGGAGAAACGCACTTGGTTCGGGCCAGCCGCCTGAGGGGACGGGCTCACGTCTGCTCCTCACACTGCAGCTGCTGGGCCGTGGAGCTTCCCCAGGGAGCCAGGGGGACTTTTGCCGCAGCCATGAAGGGGGCACGCTGGAGGAGGGTCCCCTGGGTGTCCCTGAGCTGCCTGTGTCTCTGCCTCCTTCCGCATGTGGTCCCAGGTAAGTGATGGAGACAGCAGATGAGGCTGGCTGCGGGGAGCACTTGGGGGAGGTGGGAGCTGTCAGAGAAAGAGGTCCGGGGAGACAGAGAGAGAGAGAGAGAGAATAGGGGAAAGGGAGACAGCGAAGAGGAAGAGAAGGGAGAGAAAAAGAGGGAGAGGGAAAGGAGAAAGAGATGAATGGGACAACATGGGGGGAAGGTGGAGAGAGACCCAGAGAGGGAAAGAAGAGGAAGAGAAGAGGGAGAGAGAAAGAAGAGTGGAGGCCGTGCGCGGTGGCTCATGCCTGTAATCCCAGCACTTTCGGAGGCCAAGGCAGGAGATCACCTGAGGTCAGGAGTTCGAGACCAGCCTGGCCGACATGGTGAAACCCCGTCTCTACTAAATATACAAAAATTAGCCGGTCGTGGTGGGCCCCACCTGTAATTCCAGCTACTCAGGAGTCTGAGGCAGGAGAATCACTTGAACCTGGGAGGTGGAGGTTGCAGTGAGCCAAGATCGCGCCACTGCACTCCAGCCTGGGAGAGAGAGCGAGACTCTGTCTCAAAATAAATAAATAAATAAATAAATAAATAAATAAATAAATAAATATAAAATAAAATAAAAAATAAGAAGAGGAGAAAAGTGGGGAAGAGGAGGCATGAACTGGCAGATACGGGACAAGATCTGAGGGGAAAGACAGAGGGAGAATGCTCGAAAGAGAGAGAAAAGAGAACAGAGGGCCAGAGAGCAGCCCGGCGATGTCTGGAAGGATCCATGGTGAGAGCCCAGGCTTACTCGCAGAGAGAAAGACAGGCAGAGCCAGAGCAAGAGGAACAGAGTCAAGGAGAAAGATGTACACCCTTGTGTACAGAGCTGGGGGTAGAGGGGATGCCAGGAAAGCTGGGTGATGGAGACGGAAGAAAACTCATGTAAAGCTGCAGGGTGAGAGGACGAGACAGGTGAGACGCAGACAAACTGAGGACCCTGGGAATGGAGAGAGGAGAAGATCGGGAGACAGCAGCAAGCAAGGGAAGCGACAAGGAGGAGAGGGGCAGGCCGGCCGGGAGGGTGGTGCGGAGGAGGCGGCCAGGGCGCAGAGGGCCGGGAGGTGCTGGCCGTGGGCTTCTTACCTCTGAGCTCGGGTTTAAAAGCCTCCATTTGGGTCACGGCCTTGCCTGGGGCTCGTAGCCCCGGCATTGGCCTTGGGCTCCTCCGTGTACAGAGCTGGGAGGGGAGGGATGCCAGGCCTGTGGGAGATGTTCCCTCGGGGGCCCCCGTCCTCTTCCCCACACTTTCCAGGCTGTCCCTCTGGCTTCAGGACCAAGTTTTATTCTGTGTTTCTGGGTGTCTGAGTCTTTGGGGGAGAGTCTGGGGTCCAGAGTTCAAGCTGGGGTTAGAGTCTCAGCTCCTGCCCTGCCTCTCAGCAGGCTAAGAACAGTCGCCGAGGGAAAATATTTCTTGGGCGCATATTTGAGGAGCTTCCTGGGAGTGAGTCAGAAGGCGAGTGCCGTTTAAAGGCTGCAAGAGAAGCCATGCTGGTGAAGCGGACCCTTCCACCTCGGGATGTTTCAGGACTAGGCTGAGGGCAAAGGAAACTGCCACCACCTCCCTACACCTCCCCACCCTCCAGCACCCCCACCCCACCCTGGCCACACAACCCCGCTCCAGTGCTCATCCCACCGTGAGGACGTGGAGGCCGGAAGGAGCCGCCACACGGCCCTGCCCTGCAGATGTGGTTGAAGGAGTCTCCACGGGAATCATGACTCCCAGAGCGAGGCTGGGGCTTGGGGCGCCGGGGAGGCAGCTTGGATTTAGGAGCCCCAGGGCCAAGTCTTTGCCGTGAACTGTTCTGGCCCCTGTGACCAGGCCCTGCCCCGTGTCTCCCCAGGGCCCCGGTCCCCTGTGTAAAAAGCAGTGGTGAACGGTTGGACCTCCTGACGCCCAAGTTCTTGAGTTTCCAAATCTGTGATTTAAAGCTGAGCCCAAATGTGCTGGGTACCAGCTGGACACTCAGCTCCATGTGGAGCCAGGAAGTGGGGTCTGTGGAGAGGAGCGCAGAGGGGCAAGACCTGGGGTGGGCGTGGAAAAGCACGGGGGCGTGACCCGGAGAAGGAGTGAAGGACTGTTGGTGTGCAAGGGCGTCTCCATGACGACCCGAAGAAGCTAGGCATGTCGTGGAGCGCTGAGTCCTTTGCGTCGCTAAGGGGACCAAGTGGAGCTGGGCCAGGAGAGGAGATGGTCGTGGCTGGGAGATGGCACCCACACATCTGACCGGGCATGACCAGGGCCTTGGCAGGAAAAGCAGTCACCAAGGGCGGGTGGGCAGCCCCCACCCCCACAGGGCAGCTGCTGGAGGACTGGCAGCCAGCCAGCCCCGTTCCTTTTGGCTCCCTGAAGGGGTTTACAGATGACCTGCCTATACTTGAGTCTAGGGTCTGTTTGCACACTTGCCGGCAGGACCCTCACCCAGGCTGGGTCACACTGAAGCCCAGGCCAGAGGAAAAACACAGGGTTTCCACAAAGGAGCTGCCGCAATGAGGGTTTCCTTAAGGAACAGCCCTGGCTCTCAAGGGTTAAAGGATAAGGCACAGCAGACAGAGGTGGGCTAGACAAGGACAGATGGAAATTTGGTGTCTACTGGTCGCCCCAGGCAGGAATGACTCAGAAGGAAGCCTGGCCGTCCTGGTTCCATGCCACAGGGAAAGGCAACTGGGTCGAAATAGGCCTTGGTCTCCAGCACTATCAGTGACCCCAGGGAGGTGACAGGCTGGAGCAAGTGCAGGGCAGGCAGGGGAGGGGACGCCGGCCACAGCGCACTCCACGGGGAAGGGTCTTTATGGGCCCCTCCTCGGAGAACCCCCGGTCTATCTGTCAGTCTGGGACAGGCCACCTCAACTTGCCACCGAGGACACCAAAACTCTCCACAGACCCCTCTGCCCCTCTGGGAAACCCCACTGTGCTCCAGGACACTCAAAAGGAAAGGATCCCTGGACAAGAGGTCCTGCCAGGAACATCAGCCAAATTTTGGCCAACGACCAGCAAGGTGCACAGGGAAGAGCAGGGGCTGAAACTCAGAGGTCCAGCATCAGCGACGCCCTTGGCAGCCCAGGGAACACAGGCAACGCCTTTTGGCTCTGGAGTCTTAGGCTCTTCATCGGCAAACTGAGCCCAGGGGGAAGGGGCTACTACGTAGGGTTGTCATGAGGATGAAACGAGACAGCATCTGGTGTAAAGTAGAAAAGGCATAAAGGGCCGGGCGCGGTGGCTCACGCTGTAATCCCAGCACTTTTGGAGGCCCAGGCGGGTGGATCACCTGAGGTCAGGAGTTCAAGACCAGCTTGGCCAACCCTGTCTCCACTAAAAATAAAAAATTTTGCCGGGCGTGGTGGCGAGCGCCTGTAATTCCAGCTACTCGGGAGGCTGAGGTAGGAGAATGGCTTGAACCTGGGAGGCAGAGGTTGCAGGGAGCCGAAATGGCAGCACTCTAGCTTGGGTGACAGAGCAAGACTCTGTCTAAAAAAAAAAGAAAAGCCATAAAGACGTGTTTGAGAAAGAGGCCTGGGAAGACGGGGGAAGGAGGGTGATTGAACCCGGAATGGCACTTGTGTCGGCCCAGGGTCATATCCCTTCATCTAAGGATCCTCGTGCCTCTAAAAAGCCACCCCGTGCTTCCTGTGGGTTTGCAAGGGCTGGCTTGGTGTATTCAGAATGTGGCTTGCTGCATGAACGGACCCCGAGGGCCATGGCCCTAGAGCAGGGGCTCGCTCCAGCGGACAGCTCTGCCTCACCGCTCCCTGCCTGTGAGTCCCGCCACGCCCTTGGTTTCTGGGCTCAGCCGTGGAGGCAGAGGCTGGCCTGGCAGAGGCTGGCCTGGCAGTGCTTGACACGCAAGTGATTTGTGTCTTCATTGCTAAGGACAAGAGGCAATGAGAGGACAAGAAGTGGTTGGCCTTTTGTACGCTCAACGGGTGGTTTTGCTACTCTGTGTCTTTTCTCTGATTTCACGGTGCTGTTAAGTGCTTAAAATATGCACATCGTGTAGCTCACAGAGCCACTTCTCTGAAGGCCAGGACAGAGACCTTATAGGCTCTCTCTCCCCCTAGTTTCAGCCTTTTACCTTAAATATACGTCTTTCTTACTGCTAGGCTGAGTTCCCGCCCCAGCATGTTCTGAGAAATTGAGTCAAAATAACTGAGTCTGTTGGCACCTCATCGACGATTTCTTCATAGACGGTTTTTTTATTGTTGCTGTTGTTGTTGGTTTTTTGGGTTTGTTTGTTTGTTTTTTGAGACAGAGTTTCTCTCTGTCCCCCAGGCTGCAGTGCAGTGGCGTGGTCTCAGCTCAGTGCAGCCTCTGCCTCCCGGGTTCAAGAGATTCTCCTGCCTCAGCCTCCCGAGTAGCTGGGATTATAGACGCCCAACACCACAGCGGCTAATGTTTGTATTTTTAGTAGAGATGGGGTTTCACCATGTTGGCCAGGCTGGTCTCGAACTCCTGACCTCAGGTGATCCGCTCGCCTCGGCTCCCAAAGTGCTGGGATTATAGGCGTGAGCTACTGTGCCTGGCCCTACTTCATAGAGGTTTAAATGCCTTTTCACCCTTTTCCTGGAGACTCTGAAGAAGTCTCAGGAACTGGGCATTTGTGTTGCACGTGAGGCCTTGCAATGGCGGCCCTGCTTGGAGGAAGGGCACTGGCCTGGGTTGCCCGCAGCTCCACTCCCCGTGTATGTGTTTAGGGACCACAGAGGACAGACATCGACTCTCTGTAGAGATGCCGCCCCGCCCAGGTTGCAGTTTAGGTTCCAAAAGTCCAGTGGCCAGTGGATTTTGGGGGAATTTGGAATAAGAAACAGCCTAGACTTTGGAGTTGTTCATTCACTTGCAGAATTTCTACTCATGCCAGCTGCTCTGGACAGGAAGATGAATGCGTCACAGTTCCTGCTTTTCAAAGCTCTCTAAGTTAAGTGACTTGTTTAAGATCATAGAACCCATAAGTGAGGCAGCTGGGACTAGAACCCAGGTCTCCTGACTCACTGCAGCACACAGCCTTTCGGCAATCTCCAAACCAGCCCAGCCCACCGACGGAGGGAAGAACAGAAGCATTCACACACCCTGCTGAGACAGCCATTCATTCATTCATTTGTTAATTAAACCACCATTTAGGAAACGCCTGCCTTAAGTTCCTGACATTGTTCTAGGACACAGCACTGGATGCACACAGTGAAGAGTGAAACAGACGTGGCCCAGTCTCTTGGCACTAAAATCTTGGTGCAGACAGACATCAAATAATTACGGAAATGTTCTCAACTGCACATGTGGTAAATGCAGTGTGGAAAAGTACAGGGTGTGCTGAGAGCTGCATTTCGAATGGCCAGAGAGTAGGGGAGGTGCATCTGACTGACAAGTCAGGAAGGGCCCTGTGAGGAACCGTTCTGCGGGGAGCTGAGGCCTGAGGCTGAGGACAGCCAGGTGGAGAAGGTGCCAGGCCTGAGCAGGCAGAGGCGGAGCTCATGGAGAGGCAGGAAAGAGCTTGGCCCCTTGGAGGACTTGAAAGAGAAGGCAGGTGTTAGATCGCGCAGGGCTTTGCAAGCTGTGGAATAGATTATGAATTTTATGTTATTTTATTTATTTATATTTTTGAGACAGAGTCTCACTGTGTCACCCAGGCTGAAGTGCTGTGGCGTTATCTCGGCTCACTGCAACCTCTGCCTCCAGGGTTCAAGGGATTCTCGTGCCTCAGCCCCCCGAGTAGCTGGGATCACAGGCACATGCCACCATGCTCTGCTGATTTTTGTATTTTTAGTAGAAATGGGGTTTTGCCATGTTGGTCAGGCTAGTCTCGAACTCCTGACCTCAAGTGATCTGCTTACCTTGGCCTCCCAAAGTGCTGGGATTACCAGTGTGAGCCACTGCGCCCGGCCCAGATTATGGATTTTGAGTAATTGAAATGACAGACAAGGCCAGGCACAGTGACTCATGGCTGTCATCCCAGCACTCTGGGAAGCTGAAGCGGGCAGATCACTTGAGGTCAGGAGTTTGAGACCAGACTGGCCAACATGGCAAAACCCCGTCTCTACTAAAAATACAAAAATTAGCAGGAGATGGTGGTGGGCACCTGTAATCCCAGCTACTCAGGAGGCTGAGGCAGGAGAAGCACTTGATTCCAACTGGGATCACAGGCACACACCACCACACCAGGACAGCCCGAGGCTAACCACTGTGGAGAGGCAGCCAGGCTCCTGAGGACAGCGCTAGGCTAGGAGGATGTGCCTGCCCCAGTGGGAGCCAGGAGAGATGGGTGGCAACACCAAGATGGTGGAGACTGGAGATGGCACCTCCGAGAAGGAGGCGTTGGGGAAAAGAGAGTTGAGCTGGCCGGCGTGCTGTGCTCACAGCCGGATTTTGGTGCTTCTTGGTTTGGTGCTGGAGCTTCTGTGGCGATCACCAGAGTGGCTGGGTGCTGCCACACCAGATGCTGACAGAAATGAGGTCAAATGACCGGTGGTGGGATCCATGGGTTGGGGTGTGACTTCGGCGGGGATCGTTGGAAAGAACGGGTAAAGTTCTCGCCTTGGAGTCCACTGTGAAGGGACTTGAACCTGGGAGGTGGAGGTTACAGTGAGCTGAGATCGCACCACTGCACTCCTGCCTGGGCGACAGAGCGAGACTCCATCTCAAAAAAAAAAAAGATAAAGATAAAGAAACAGGCAACGTCACCCTCTCTCCAGCCTCGGCTGAAGGCAACAAAGGCCACAGGGCCTGGGATGTATTCCACAGATGTGTACGAAGTCACTGCTGTATGCCAAGTCTCGTTTCAGGCGCTGGAGATCACAAGAGGTCTGTTATTCCAAGGGTATCTTGAGTTAGTGTCTTTCCTCATCTTGAATTCTAGGGAAGTACCCAGTGGACACAACCCTGGTCACAGTTGATTCTGGGCTGATACACAAATAGCATTAGCTCCCTGCCAAAGGCGGTGGGGCCAGCGGTTCAGCGTCTGCGCGCCTTCCGGGCCGCCTGCTGCCTGTGTGGGGCTGAATGTTCTCCTCAAGGCCATCCTTACCGTTGGGCACTTCCCTTGGGCTTACACTGCCCTGCCCGAGGCAGCCTGGCAAGGGGCCCCACCCGTCAGGAAGTAATTCCCCTCCAGGAAAGTGAAACACTGTGGCGATACGGCTTACGGGTTCCTCACCTCCAGTTCCAGGAAAAACCCAAGACAAACAGACCAGATGCTAGGAATAAGCCTCAACCCACAGCACTTAGAAAGCCGCAGGCTTTGTGTGTCTTCAGGGAGTGGCTTCACCCTTCTTGGAATCTGTCTTCTGCCAGCGTCACTCATACTGCTGCCACTCCTTCTCCCGAGCCAACAGCACACCTGTCACCTCGGCACACCTGTGGAGTCACCAGAGGGGCCATCTGGGGAAAACGATGCCTACTGCCACTCGGCCTTCACATCCTGGAGCCCTAACAGACGTGAGGCAGCTGTGGGCCGTCTCCCACCTGACGTGGTTCAAGGAGAGAAAAGAACTACCTTGATGGGAGATCTCTGGCTGACGTGATGGCAGAGGCTTGACAGAGCCTTCAAGGACTCAGATGTGGGGAACGTCTCTACCTCAGTGCCAACGCCAGTGCCCTCCTCGTCCCTGGATGGAGACTCTTCCTCTGAGAGAATGTCTTAAAAACTATCCGTTTTACTCAATGACACACGTGTGTCTTCTCACAGTGATCTTGTCACCTTAAGGTGTCAACAGCCTTCACACTCACTCTAACATCATCCCAGAAAAGAGACACCAGGAACATTGCAAAAACACCCCAGTGTCACAGCGTCCACCCCGAGAATGTGCCTGGCTCGGCCTCAGGCTCAGAGCCCTCTGCATGTGGCAGTCCAAGAACTTGGGGCAGGTCAGTGACCATTTCTCCATCTTTGCCTCAGCTCTCCATCCACTCGGTGGCAGTCCCAGAGCTGAGCAGCTCGCAGCTTCCGAGCAATGGCTCTTACCCCGAGCCCCCGGCCCTGCTACTTCCAAGGCATATAATATCACTCGGTCTCTTCAAATCTCAATTTCCCTGCCTGTGAAATGGGGCCGCTGAATCTCGATTTCCCCGCCTGTGAAATGGGGCCGCTATTAACAAGATAAGCTATAAAGCACCACATGAACATGAGCTGTGAACATTTGTATTATTCATAGAGTCATAACGTGCCTACGAGAGAAGTAAAAAGAAGCCCCACCTCCCTGGTGTGTTCATCACAAGTCAGCTGACCCTCAGTCACTCGACCCAGCGCAGATGCGGAGGCTCTCGCTGCTTGCAGAGAGTTTATATTATATTAAACGGATAGTTTAATTCATAAGGTCTGGTAGGAAGAACGTGAATTTATTAACCAAAACTAGTAAAGGGGAAGCAGCCAGATTTCTACTTAAAGTAGCTGCTTTAATTTTCAGAGGGGAAAGCCTTGATAAGGAAGGCACGCAAGAATCGGGCTGAGTCCTGTGTCCGCATGTCTTGTTCTGGTGGCTCTTCTGGGTCCCAGTCCGTCCGGACCTCTGGCTGACATTATTTTAACAAGAGCTGTCTTGAAGTAATTTCTGGGATTTTGCAGCTGGATTTTCAGATGTGGTTTGTCTCTCTCAAGGTTTTAGCCCCTGCAACTTTTAGGAAGACATATAATTCGATCCTCGCACGCAGAGAAATGGAAGGGAGTATATACAGACAGTAAGAAAAGGGAGGGAGTGTATACAGATGACAAGAAAAGGGAGGGAGTGTGTACAGACGGTGAGAAGAGGGAGGGAGTGTGTACAGATCGTGAGAAAAGGGAGGGGCGTGAAGTCTATTTTTAGGCTGAGGAAAACGGCCTTTGCAGCTGCCTCAAGGTTGTATTTGGAAACCCAAGAGAAAGGGGAAAACATGTTTAAAATGCATTTTGAATTTAAGCTGCCGGCTACAAAACTGAACAATGTCTCCCGCAGAAACGAGAAATCCCTTGGCGTGGCCATTTCTTATTACAGAAGCCACCCTGCCACGCACACAGACGCGCTGGAAGTATCTTTCCTCAGTCACAACCAGACGAAGGTCATTCTTGCCCAGTGGCCTCCCTCTGAGGATTCTGGTTTCTGACATCCGTGTCACAATGGCAATGCCAGTCACCAGTCTCTGACCACTAGACCCACGCCCCCGGGACCTACGCAGACACCCAGGACCAATGCCAGTCACCAGTCTGTGACCCCAGGACCTACCAGACACCTTCCAGGGCAGGCAGGGCAGGCCATTTTCCAAAGCAATTCGAGCTAAGGAGACAGCAGCAGCAACCCTCCCTCCTGGCCCTCAGAGCTGAGGATCAACCCACAGGGGTGCGGTGGAGGCTGAGAGCAGGGGTGCGGAACCCGAGTCAGCAGGGGCAGTGAGGAGGCTGCCGCAGTAGTCAAAGCGACGGGGAGGATGTGGCAAAGCAAACAAGAGGACGCGATGGGGTGAACACTTGGGAGGAAGATCAACGAGTACTGACTAGGACACAGGGGACAAGGAAGAGAAAGAAATCCAGAGGACCCACAGCTTTCTGGGCTGGATGTCTGGGGGACTGTTGTTAGCATGAACAGAAGGAAGGAAGAAAGCTTGCAAGGAAAGATTGACCTGGACCTGTTGCATTGCATGAGCTAGGCAGGAAATCCCTGGGAGGGTGAGGCCAGCATATGGGTGGGAAGTCAGGGAGAAGTACAGATTTGTAAGGCGTGAGAGTAGACGCAGGGTGGCCAGAGAGGGAGGGGCAGCAGGAGAGGGAAAGGGCTGGAGACATGTCATCTGGGCGTGGAGCGGGGGAGAGAGGTGGCAAGGGGAGTGGAGTGGAGGGCCCGGGAGCGTGGACGGTGGAGCAGGACCCGTCAGCTTCAATGAGGGTGAGGCTGGGTGGTGGCACGGGGCCGCCGGCCAGGGAGAGCACGTGGAGGGGGGGGCGCAATACACATCTGTCAGATTCATGAATGAATGAATGGATGGGGCCGAACTGATGAGACGCGTGAGGACTGGAGAAAATCGTTTTTGCTGTTGGGAAGGAGATTCTGGTAGCTCTGAGGAAAACGGCTTGAGCGAAGTGAGTGAGGTGGGGGCAGAGCGAGCAGTGCGTGGTAAAGAAGAGGCGGCAGGGGAAGCCCGGCTTTCATGCTGCTGGAGGGACGAGGAGGACACAGACGGATGACAGACTTGTTTTAGGCCAACAGACACCTGAACATGCTCACAGGCAGGAGAGAAGGAGAAAGGCAGAAAGAACGTCGGAGACACAGAGGCAGAGCAGTGAGCCATCCGGGCAGGAGGGAGCCCCGGGGCCCCGGGGAGGGTGCGGAGAAGGCTCTGGGCATTGAAGGAGATGAAGGGCACGGCTTTGGTTCTTTCAGTGAAGTAGAAAATGGAGGGTCACGGGGAGAGAAGAGAGAGGAGAGACCTGTTTCTCTCCAATATCAACTCTTTAGGCGCAAATCTCCCAGCTCTCTGCTCCCCAAGTTTATGCGTTTGGCCAGAGTGAGAACAAGTTTCAGTTGTCTGACAATCTGACGGAACCTGAAGGGCCTGACTTGCATCCTGGTGAGAGCCAAGGTCAGTTCATTCTGGCCAACACTTGAGCAGCAAGAACAAGGCTATGAGTATTTTTTAGAATAAAACTTGATCAAGGCTTCAAATTTCTCTGCCTGACAACTTCAGCGAGATGGTTTTGGCTTACAAACATTGTTAAGAGTGGATACTATCATTTTATTTTAAGGGAAGTGTTTCTGAACGTGGGGTCCACGGACCACCTGCATCAGAATCACTCTGGACATGTGTTAAAATGCTGATGCACCCTCTGCCTTTTGAGAACCACTTTTTTTTTTTTTTTTTTTTTCAGAGAAGGGGTCTTGAGCTATTGCCCAGGCTGGTCTCAAACTCCTGGCCTCAAGGAATCCTCCCGCCTCTGCCTGTCCGTGCTGGGATTTTAGGCATGAGCTACCATGCCCAGCTGAGAACCATTTTCTTACCAAAAATCATTCTCCATAGTCTCTCCATCCACTAGGATTTCTTTCTTTTTCTTCTTTGTAAAGATAGGTCATACTTGAACACAGGATTTCTTACCTACAAATAACCTACTCAAGCTTAGTAGATTGAGTTATCTGCAAATTGTTTTCCTAAACAGCTGAATAATCAATCTATTGCAGGAGTGGCTTCAGAGGTATTGTTTAAATGATGGTGAAAGACAAATGCAATAACTGTAGTTTTGTCGTAACGAATGCTAATCTCTTCCTCCTCACAAGCCCAACAGATTGAGAGATTTTGACAGCGCCTTCTCCCCTAGACAATAAAACTATGTCCTCCACATGCAGTGACTCACTTGCCCTCCTATTTGCGGCAGCAGGAAACTCTAATCAACTTGGCTCAAGATGAGCAAGTTCTCTAAATAAAGATTTAAAAGGAGGACTACCAGGACACAGCCCTGTTTAGCAAGAATTTTTTTTTTTTTTGAGATGGAGTCCCGCTCTGTCGCCCAGGCTGGAGTGCAGTGGCGCGATCTCGGCTCACTGCAACCTCCACCTCCCAGGTTTGAGAGATTCTCCTGCCTCAGCCTCCTGAGTAGCTGGGATTACAGGTGCACGCCACCATGCCTGGGTAATTTTTGTATTTTTAGTAGAGATGGGGTTTCATCATGTTGGCCAGGCTGGTCTTGAACTCCTGACCTCAAATGATCCACCCGCTTCGACCTCCCAAAGTGCTGGGATTACAGGTGTGAGGCACCGCACCTGGCCGATTTTCAGTCGATGCTGTGAAGCAAAGAGCAGCAGGTGAGGGATGGGGCCTGTCCTGGATCATGCCCCTTTGTTCACAGGCTAGGGATATGGGGAAACAGGCACACTCTTGCACACTGCCAACAGGTCTGTAAATTGGCATAAGCTTTCTGCAAAGAAATTTGGCAGTCTGTATTAATAACATGAAAAATTTTATAACGGCATAAACCAGCAATTCCACTGATAGAAATTTATGTTAAGGAGATGAGCTGAAATAATGTAAACAAAACATTAGACACGAAGATAGTCATCAGGGCTTTATTTAAAATAAGCAATACATTGGAAATATCCTAATTGTCCAACAGTAAGTTAACAATATGAGCTTTCTCTATGATGGCTTATTATTTAGTGTTTAGGCCGGGCGCGGTGGCTCACGCCTGTAATCCCAGCACTTTGGGAGGCTGAGGTGAGTGGATCACCTGAGGTCAAGAGTTTGAGACCAGCCTGGCCAACATGGTGAAACCCAGTCTCCACTAAAAATACAAAAAATTAGCCTGGCATGGTGGCACATGCCTGTAATCCCAGCTACTTGGGAGGCTGAAGCAGGAGAATCACGGAGGTGGAGGTTGCAGTGGGCCGAAATCGTGCCGTTGCACTCCAGCCTGGGCAACAAGAGTGAAACTCCATCTGGAAAAAAAAATGTTTAAAGGCTATGTCCAATGTTCCATAAGGGCAGGGACACACACACACAGTGTCACACACACACACACACACACACACACACACAGTGTCACACATACATACTAGCAACACACAGAACGGGCATAAAGTAAGATGTATTAAGGAGAAATTGCGAGCAGGGAGCAGTGGAGTCCACATGACCCCCGAGCTCTCATTGCACAGAGAGGTGGGTATGGTGGACACACAGCAGGATGTGGTACAGGAGAGAGACCTGCTCCTGTTTAACAGAAAATGGGAAGGGTAACAACGCTTCCAGTTGGGGGAGTGGCTTTGTTAGGAAGGAGGCCACCAGAGCTCAGCAGGGGGAGTTTTTATACAGCACCCTAGATTTTACTATGGAGCTGAGCTCTCCCAGTCCCCCTGAGCCAGCTCTTGTAGGACTCCAAAAGGGGGAAGCAAGGAACTGCCATCCAAGACATAAAAGATGTGCGTCTTCTCAGGCTATGTTTACGAAGCTAGTATCTTGAAGAAATGCTCATATCAGGTATGGCTAAAAAGGCAGGATACAAAATTATGTATACTGAATAAGTTAAACTATACATATATATTTTTTAATTTTTAATTTTTTTTTTGAGACGGAGTCTCACTCTGTCACCCAGGCAGGAGTGCAGTGGTGCAATCTCGGCTCACTGCAAGCTCCGCCTCCCGGGTTCACGCCATTCTCCTGCCTCAGCCTCCCGAGTAGCTGGGACTACAGGCGCCCGCCACCACGCCCGGCTAATTTTTTTGTATTTTTAGTAGAGACGGGGGTTCACCCTGTTAGCCAGGATGGTCTCGATCTCCTGACCTCATGATCCGCCCACCTCAGCCTCACAAAGCGCTGGGATTACAGGTGTGAGCCACCACGCCTGGCCTAAACTATATATTTTTTAAAGCATAAAAACATCCTGGAAGGAAGCATTGTCTGGTAGCAAGATTATGGGTTTTGATCTTTCAACTATAAATGTTCCCAAATGCACGTAACCAGTATGTGTGTTTTCTTTGGCATATTTCAATGCAGTTGTACAATTTTGTCCATAAAGATTAAGCACATCTTTTGTTAGATTTATTTTTATGTACTTTTTTTGGTCACCATCATAAACACTATAGTCTTAAAAATATTTTCTCTTTCACTGATATATAGGAATGCAGTTTTATTTTGTTTTTAAATCTCTTTTTGAGACAGAGTCTCCCTCTGTCATGCAGGCTGGAGTACAGTGGGGTGATCATAGCTCACTGCAGCCTCGAACTCTTGGGCTCAAGTGATCCTCCCCCCTCAACTTCTGAGTAGCTGGAACTATATGTGTGTGCTACTATGCCCAGCTAATTTTTTATTTTTTTATTTTTTATTTCTGTAGAGACAGGATCTTGCTATGTTACCCAGGCTGGTCTTGAACTCCTGGCCTCAAGTGTTCCTCCTGCCTCAGCCTCTCAAAGCACTGGGATTCAGGCATGAATCACCACACCCAGCTGGAATGCAATTATTTTTAAAATTTTGATTATGGATATAGAACTTTGCTAATAATGTATATGTTTGGGAAGTTTCTATGTAAACAATTATGTTATCTGCAAATAACCATAGGCTTGTTTCATCCCTTCCATACCCAAAATCACATTTCTGTACTCTCATACTTTTTGTTTAATTTTCTCGTCTTATTTCACCAGCTAAAACCTTCAACCTAATGTTGATTAGAAGCAGTGATTGTTGGCATCTTGTTTTTATTCCTGATTTTACAGAAACGTTTCTATTGTTTTAAGTATAATGTTTACACGGGGTTATAATTGACATTGTTTATCAGGTTAAAAGAGTTAACGTCTCTTTTTAGTTTGCTAGGAGTTTTAACAGGAGTAAGTGTTGACTTTTATCAAATAACTTTCCTGTATCTGCTGTGGTGATTGTGTCTCCCCTCCGTTCTGTTTATATGGTGATTTACATTAAGAAAGCATTGTCTTTATCTTGCATTTCTGATTTAAACTCAGCTTGATCATGATGTACTTTTAAAATATTTATTTATTTATTTATTTATTTAAGATAGAGTCCTGCTCTGTCACCAGGCTGGAGTGCAGTGGCACAATCTCGGCTCACTGCAATCTCTGCCTCCTGGGTTCAAGCAATTCTCGTGCCTCAGCCTCCTGAGTAGCTGGGATTACAGGTGTGTGCCACCAAGCCCAGCACACACCTGTAATCCAAAAAAATACAAATTTTTTGTATTTTTACCAGAGACGGGGTTTCTCTAGGTTGGCCAGGCTGGTCTGGAACTCCCGGCCTCAAGTGATCCGCCTGCCTCGGCCTGCCAAAGTGTTGGGGTTACAGGCGTGAGCCGCCGCGCCCGGCCATGATGCACTTTGGCTTGCTAATATTTTATTTACGATGCTTCCATGTATTATTACTGGGACTTATTAATCTATAGTTTGTCTTTCTTATCCTATCTTTGGTTTCCAACCTTATAAAATTATTAGTAGATCATTTCCTCCTGTTCCAAACTCTGAATATGTTTGTATAGAATTGAAATTACCTGTTCCTTGAATGTCTGATTTGCCTGTAAACTCATCTTAGCCTGCATTTTTTTGTGGGGTGGATAGATTATATATACATATTTTTTTTTGAGACGGAGTCTCACCTTGTCACCCAGGCTGGAGTGCAATGGCATGATCTCCGCTCACTGCAACCTCTGCCTCCCAGGTTCACGCCGTTCTCCTGCCTCAGCCTCCAGAGTAGCTGGGACTACAGGCGCCTGCCACCATGCCCAGCTAATTTTTTTTTCACCGTGTTAGCCAGGATGGTCTCAATCTCCTGACCTCATGATCCGCCTGCCTCACCCTCCCAACGTGTTAGGATTACAGGCGTGAGCCACCGCACCCGGCCTAGATTATATTTTTTAAACTGCTGATTCAATTTAAAATAGTTTATAGTGGCCGGGCGAGGTGGCTCATGCCTGTAATCCCAGCACTTTGGGATGCCGAGGTGGGTAGATCACCTGAGGTCAGGAGTTTGAGACCAGCCAGGACGACATGGTGAAACCCAGTCTCTACTAAAAATACAAAAATTAGCCGGGCGTGGTGGCATGCGCCTGTAATCCCAGCTACTTGGGAGGCTGAAGCAGGAGAATCTTGAACCTGGGAGGCAGAGGTTGCAGTGAGCTGAGATCATGCCATTGCACTCCAGCCTGGGCAACAAAGCAAGACTCTGTTTCAAAAAAATAAATAAATAAAATTAAATAAATAAAATAAAATAGTTTTTAGCCAGGTTTTTTTCTTAATTCATTTTTGATAAATTATATTTTTAAGGACAGTATATCCAATTTATCTAAGTTTTCATACTTTTTGGTATAAATTCATCAGAGCACTGTCTCTTAAATTTTTTTTCTGAAGTTATGTACCCTTTTTTGTTTCTAATAATCTTGATATCTGTGTCTTTTCTGTCTCTCTCTCTCCCTCCTCCCACCCCCCTCCCCCACTTTCTTTCTCTTGCCAGGTATTTGTTTTATTTTCAAAGAACTAATCTTTGGCTTCATTTATTCCATTTTTAATTGTTTCTATAGTGAGTTCTGGTCTGTTACTATATCCTTCATTCTGCTTCCTTTTTCTTTTTTCTTCCTGGTCTTTCTAGTCTACCTTTTTTGCTGGCGGTTCCAGCTTTTTGCAGGGAAACTCAGTTCAGTGTCGTGACCGAGGGTCTTGCTTCCTTTCCTTTTTCAGCCTTTCAGTCAGCACATTTCCAAGGGCATTGACTCACCATCTTAGTTGTTAACTTCTTCACTCCTGAGTGTTTCCCTTTCTTTCTTCTCATCTCACCTCTGCATTAGAAAACATTTATTACATTTATAACCTGTATTTATCTGGCATTGGCTGGTTTTGCTATTAGAGGCTTATCTCTTCTTCCATATTGCTGAAATGGAGCTGTGCCACTTTTATAAAGAACTACAAAAATCTTTACTTTAAAAAAAAGGACGGTGCTGTCATGAAACTTCTGCTGCTGACACTGATTTTAGCAGAGGTGATGCAGGCTCTGAAAAGATGTTAATTGCCAAGAATTTACACATTCAGAAAGTTTGGCCCCTAGATAGCTCCTGTCTACTCAAAGCCTGATGATAGACAAATGCTCTTAATTATGTTATCAGGGAAATGAAATAAGGTTAAAAATAACTGCATAGAGAATGTTTTTAAATTTAAACCTTATTTGGAGAAACCAAGTTTTGCAAATTTTCTCTAGGAGAAAGCAGGCATCGAGTTTAGAGTCCTATCAACAAATCTCAACCTAATTCCAACTAAAGGAAGTTTCCGTTTAAAGTTGAAGTGGAGTCATTTTGGATTAAGCCAGGGGCCCAGGGACCTCCCAGAGGGCTCTGCGGTTCAGCCCGTGCCTTTGTCCACGTCGGTTTACAAGTGTGTCACCAGTAAGCAGTTACTATTAATGAAGTGCAGAAGCTTGCACGTGAGTCACTTTTTTAACAATTAGAGCTGGTTCATAACCATTATCACTCACTTGAGAGTCTAAGTTACTGTCTGAAGAAGAGAAGGTGGCGAATTACAGTCAATTCCAGAAAGTGGACTTGAAGCTGAATTCTTCCCTGAGACTTTGTCTCTCTGAGTATCATCTTGCCAACTATCTAGGAGCACTGAGGTTGAAAAAAAGGGTGGGAGCGGTGGCTCACACCTTTAATCCCAGTACTTTGAGAGTCTGAAGCAGGAGGATCGCTTGAGGCCGGGAGTTCGACACCAGCCTAGGCAACATAGCAAGATTCCACCTCTACAGAAATAAAAAAATTACCCAGGCATGGTTGTGTGTGCCTGTAGTCCCAGCTACTCAGAAGGCCAATTACACCGCTGAACTTCAGCCTGGGTGACAGAAGACCCTGTCTCTCTTTCTCTCTCTCTCTTTCTTTCTCTCTCTCTCTCTTTCTTCTCTCTCTCTCTCTCTCTATATATATATGTTTAAAAAGAAAAAAGAAAGAAGTTTGAGAACAGCTAGGGAACTAATGAAAACCCAAAAGAGTCAGTTTCTAAGAGAAAAAAAAAGGCAAGTTTTCTTGGTTTCTTCTTGGTTCAGAGACTCAGAGGCTAAGGTAATATTCACGAAGATGGTATGTGGCTAGTGCAGGTGCTGTGAAATATTTTAAACAAAAAAAGCCAATATTTAAACATTCTGCCTGGGAAATATTTTTCTTTATTTATTTAATATCTATTTTTATTATTATTATTATTATTTTTATTTTTTAAGACACAGGGTCTCGCTATCTTGCCCAGGCTGGTCTCAAACTCCTGGCCTCGAGTGATCCTCCCACCTTGGCCTCCCAAAATGCTGGGATTACAGACATGAGCCACCATGCCTGGCCTCTGCCTGGGAAATAATTTTTTTTTAAAAAGTGGTTATGGTCAATAATATTAGCTTCTTGGTAGTCTGTGACCAGGGCAAGAGTATATGCATTTACCCCTTGGGTTTTTTACCAGATTGGCACAGATGTTAACAACGAAAAAGAAAAGTAGAAATTTAATTTATTTTTAAGAAAGATAATGCTATAATTCAAGTTGAGAGAGTTAACCCGGCTTATAGCAGGGGTACTGTTTGCCTCTTCCCATGGAGTTTAACACAGTTAATTCACCATTCTAGTCTAACCTCACCTTCCTCCTCACAAGGAAGACAGGCGGGAGCTGGAGAAGACCATTGGCTATATTCCTGCAACTGTGCTTTTTCTAGGCGATTTGAAGCAGTGCTTATCAGGGGCCTTCCTCTGTGGGAATCCTGCACCCCCATCTCTCTCTCCTTTTTTATTTTATTTATTTATTTTTTTTTTGAGACAGAATCTTGCTCTGTCGCCCAGGCTGCAGTGAAGTGGCATGATGTCTGCTCACTGCAACCTCCACCTCCTGGGTTCAAGCAATTCTCCTGCCTCAGCCTTTTGAGTAACTGGGATTACAGGCACCCACCACCACGCCCAGCTATTTCTGTATTTTTTTTTCTAGTAGAGACGGGGTTTTGCCATATTGCCCAGGCTGGTCTCGCACTCCTGACCTCAAGTGATCCACCCATCTCAGCCTCCCAAAGTGCTGGGATTGCAGGTGGGGCTACCATGCCCGGCCCCATCTCTTATTATTTTTTTATCCCCCAAATATGTACAGTTGTGATATATTAATTTTTCATTTTTTCTTTTTATTTCTTTTCATTTTTACTTTAAGTTTCAGGATACATGTGCAGAACGTGCAGGTTTGTTACACAGGTATATATGTGCCATGGTGGTTTACTGCACCTATCAACCCATCACCTGCATGTATTAGCTATTTATCCTGACGCTCTTCCTCCCCTTGTCCCGTCCCTGACAGGCGCCAGTGTGTGTTGTTCCCCTCTCTGTGTCCATGTGTTCTCATTGTTCAACTCCAACTTATGAGTGAAAACATGCAGTGTTTGGTTTTCTGTTCCCCTGTTAGTTTGTTGAGGATGATGGCTTTCAGCTTCATCCATGTACCTGCAAAGGACGTGATCCCATTCCTTTTTCATGGCTGCATAGTATTCCGTGCTGCATATGTACCACATTTTCTTTATCCAGTCTATCACTGATGGACATTTGGGTTGGTTTCATGTCTTTACTATTGTAAATAGTGCTGCAGTAAACATACGTGTGCATGTATCTTTATAACAGAATGATTTATATTCCTTTGGGCATATACCCAGTAATGGGATTGCTGGGTCAAATGGTATTTCTGGTTCTAGATCCTTGAGGAATCGCCACACTGTCTTCCACAATGGTTGAACTGATTTACACTCCCACCAACAGTGTAAAAGCGTTCCTATTTCACCACAGCCTTGCCAGCATCTGCTGTTTCTTGACTTTTTAATAATTGCCATTCTGAGTGGTGTGAGATGATATCCCTTTGTAGTTTTGATTTGCATTTCTCTAATGATCCATGATGATGAGCCTTTTTTCATATGTTTGTTGGTGGCATAAATGTCTTCTTTTGATAAGTGTCTGTTCATATCCTTTGCCTGCTTTTTGATGGGGTTGTTTATTTTTTTCTTGTAAATTTAAGTTCCTTGTAAATTCTGGATATTAGACCTCTGTCAGATGGTTAGATTGCAAAAATTTTCTCATTTTGTAGGTTGCCTGTTTGCTCTGATGATAGTTTCTTTTGCTGTGCAGAGCTCTTTAGTTTAATTAGATCCCATTTGTCAATTTTAGCTTTTGTTGCAAGTGCTTTTGGAGATTTCATCATAAAATCTTTGCCTATGTCTATGTCCTGAATGGTATTGCCTAGGTTTTCTTCTAGGGTTTTCATGGTTTGGGGTTTTACATGTAAGTCTTTAACCTGCCTTGAGTTAATTTTTGTATAAGGTGTAAGGAAGGGGTCCAGTTTCAGTTTTCTGCATATGGCTAACCAGTTTTCCCAGCACCATTTATTGAATAGAGAATCCTTTCCCCATTGCCTGCTTTTGTCAGGTTTGTCAAAGATCAGATGGTTGTAGATGTGTGGTCTTATTTCCAAGGTATCTATTCTGTTCCATTGGTTTATATGTCAGTTTTGGTACCAGTACCATGCTGTTTTGGTTACTGTAGCCTTGTAGTATAGTTTGAAGTCAGGTAGCCTCCCACTTTGTTCTTTTTGCTTAGGATTGTCTTGGCTATTTGGGTTCTTTTTTGATTCCATATGAATTTTAAAGTAGTTTGTTCTCATTCTGTGAAGAATGGTAGTTTTCACATCCTTTGTTAGCTGTATTCCTAGGTATTTTATTCTATTTGTAGCAATTGTGAATAGGAGTTCATTCATGATTTAGCTCTCTGCTTGCCTATTTTGGTTCACTCCAGGAACCACAGAGGACACATTAATAACTGGAAGTAAAACTGCTGCCCCAGTCACCTCAACAGGCTCAACAACAGCGACACTAGAGGGACAATCAACTGCAGCTTCTTCAAGGACCTCTAATCAGGACATATCAGCTTCATCTCAGAACCACCAGACTAAGAGCACGGAGACCACCAGCAAAGCTCAAACCGACACCCTCACGCAGATGATGACATCAACTCTTTTTTCTTCCCCAAGTGTACACAATGTGATGGAGACAGCTCCTCCAGATGAAATGACCACATCATTTCCCTCCAGTGTCACCAACACACTCATGATGACATCAAAGACTATAACAATGACAACCTCCACAGACTCCACTCTTGGAAACACAGAAGAGACATCAACAGCAGGAACTGAAAGTTCTACCCCAGTGACCTCAGCAGTCTCAATAACAGCTGGACAGGAAGGACAATCACGAACAACTTCCTGGAGGACCTCTATCCAAGACACATCAGCTTCTTCTCAGAACCACTGGACTCGGAGCACGCAGACCACCAGGGAATCTCAAACCAGCACCCTAACACACAGAACCACTTCAACTCCTTCTTTCTCTCCAAGTGTACACAATGTGACAGGGACTGTTTCTCAGAAGACATCTCCTTCAGGTGAAACAGCTACCTCATCCCTCTGTAGTGTCACAAACACATCCATGATGACATCAGAGAAGATAACAGTGACAACCTCCACAGGCTCCACTCTTGGAAACCCAGGGGAGACATCATCAGTACCTGTTACTGGAAGTCTTATGCCAGTCACCTCAGCAGCCTTAGTAACATTTGATCCAGAAGGACAATCACCAGCAACTTTCTCAAGGACTTCTACTCAGGACACAACAGCTTTTTCTAAGAACCACCAGACTCAGAGCGTGGAGACCACCAGAGTATCTCAAATCAACACCCTCAACACCCTCACACCGGTTACAACATCAACTGTTTTATCCTCACCAAGTGGATTCAACCCAAGTGGAACAGTTTCTCAGGAGACATTCCCTTCTGGTGAAACAACCACCTCATCCCCTTCCAGTGTCAGCAATACATTCCTGGTAACATCAAAGGTGTTCAGAATGCCAACCTCCAGAGACTCTACTCTTGGAAACACAGAGGAGACATCACTATCTGTAAGTGGAACCATTTCTGCAATCACTTCCAAAGTTTCAACCATATGGTGGTCAGACACTCTGTCAACAGCACTCTCCCCCAGTTCTCTACCTCCAAAAATATCCACAGCTTTCCACACCCAGCAGAGTGAAGGTGCAGAGACCACAGGACGGCCTCATGAGAGGAGCTCATTCTCTCCAGGTGTGTCTCAAGAAATATTTACTCTACATGAAACAACAACATGGCCTTCCTCATTCTCCAGCAAAGGCCACACAACTTGGTCACAAACAGAACTGCCCTCAACATCAACAGGTGCTGCCACTAGGCTTGTCACAGGAAATCCATCTACAGGGACAGCTGGCACTATTCCAAGGGTCCCCTCTAAGGTCTCAGCAATAGGGGAACCAGGAGAGCCCACCACATACTCCTCCCACAGCACAACTCTCCCAAAAACAACAGGGGCAGGCGCCCAGACACAATGGACACAAGAAACGGGGACCACTGGAGAGGCTCTTCTCAGCAGCCCAAGCTACAGTGTGACTCAGATGATAAAAACGGCCACATCCCCATCTTCTTCACCTATGCTGGATAGACACACATCCCAACAAATTACAACGGCACCATCAACAAATCATTCAACAATACATTCCACAAGCACCTCTCCTCAGGAATCACCAGCTGTTTCCCAAAGGGGTCACACTCAAGCCCCGCAGACCACACAAGAATCACAAACCACGAGGTCCGTCTCCCCCATGACTGACACCAAGACAGTCACCACCCCAGGTTCTTCCTTCACAGCCAGTGGGCACTCGCCCTCAGAAATTGTTCCTCAGGACGCACCCACCATAAGTGCAGCAACAACCTTTGCCCCAGCTCCCACCGGGGATGGTCACACAACCCAGGCCCCGACCACAGCACTGCAGGCAGCACCCAGCAGCCATGATGCCACCCTGGGGCCCTCAGGAGGCACGTCACTTTCCAAAACAGGTGCCCTTACTCTGGCCAACTCTGTAGTGTCAACACCAGGGGGCCCAGAAGGACAATGGACATCAGCCTCTGCCAGCACCTCACCTGACACAGCAGCAGCCATGACCCATACCCACCAGGCTGAGAGCACAGAGGCCTCTGGACAAACACAGACCAGCGAACCGGCCTCCTCAGGGTCACGAACCACCTCAGCGGGCACAGCTACCCCTTCCTCATCCGGGGCGAGTGGCACAACACCTTCAGGAAGCGAAGGAATATCCACCTCAGGAGAGACGACAAGGTTTTCATCAAACCCCTCCAGGGACAGTCACACAACCCAGTCAACAACCGAATTGCTGTCCGCCTCAGCCAGTCATGGTGCCATCCCAGTAAGCACAGGAATGGCGTCTTCGATCGTCCCCGGCACCTTTCATCCCACCCTCTCTGAGGCCTCCACTGCAGGGAGACCGACAGGACAGTCAAGCCCAACTTCTCCCAGTGCCTCTCCTCAGGAGACAGCCGCCATTTCCCGGATGGCCCAGACTCAGAGGACAAGAACCAGCAGAGGGTCTGACACTATCAGCCTGGCGTCCCAGGCAACCGACACCTTCTCAACAGTCCCACCCACACCTCCATCGATCACATCCACTGGGCTTACATCTCCACAAACCGAGACCCACACTCTGTCACCTTCAGGGTCTGGTAAAACCTTCACCACGGCCCTCATCAGCAACGCCACCCCTCTTCCTGTCACCTACGCTTCCTCGGCATCCACAGGTCACACCACCCCTCTTCATGTCACCGATGCTTCCTCAGTATCCACAGGTCACGCCACCCCTCTTCCTGTCACCAGCCCTTCCTCAGTATCCACAGGTCACACCACCCCTCTTCCTGTCACCGACACTTCCTCAGAATCCACAGGTCACGTCACCCCTCTTCCTGTCACCAGCTTTTCCTCAGCATCCACAGGTGACAGCACCCCTCTTCCTGTCACTGACACTTCCTCAGCATCCACAGGTCACGTCACCCCTCTTCCTGTCACCAGCCTTTCCTCAGCATCCACAGGTGACACCACCCCTCTTCCTGTCACTGACACTTCCTCAGCATCCACAGGTCACGCCACCTCTCTTCCTGTCACCGACACTTCCTCAGTATCCACAGGTCACACCACCCCTCTTCCTGTCACCGACACTTCCTCAGCATCCACAGGTCACGCCACCTCTCTTCCTGTCACCGACACTTCCTCAGTATCCACAGGTCACACCACCCCTCTTCATGTCACTGATGCTTCCTCAGCATCCACAGGTCAGGCCACCCCTCTTCCTGTCACCAGCCTTTCCTCAGTATCCACAGGTGACACCACGCCTCTTCCTGTCACTAGCCCTTCCTCAGCATCCACAGGTCACGCCACCCCTCTTCTTGTCACCGACACTTCCTCAGCATCCACAGGACACGCCACCCCTCTTCCTGTCACCGACGCTTCCTCAGTGTCCACAGATCACGCCACCTCTCTTCCTGTAACCATCCCTTCCGCAGCATCCACAGGTCACACCACCCCTCTTCCTGTCACCGACACTTCCTCAGCATCCACAGGTCAGGCCACCTCTCTTCTTGTCACCGACACTTCCTCAGTATCCACAGGTGACACCACGCCTCTTCCTGTCACTAGCACTTCCTCAGCATCCACAGGTCACGTCACTCCTCTTCATGTCACCAGCCCTTCCTCAGCATCCACAGGTCACGCCACCCCTCTTCCTGTCACCAGCCTTTCCTCAGCATCCACAGGTGACACCATGCCTCTTCCTGTCACTAGCCCTTCCTCAGCATCCACAGGTGACACCACCCCTCTTCCTGTCACCGACGCTTCCTCAGTATCCACAGGTCACACCACCCCTCTTCATGTCACTGATGCTTCCTCAGCATCCACAGGTCAGGCCACCCCTCTTCCTGTCACCAGCCTTTCCTCAGTATCCACAGGTGACACCACGCCTCTTCCTGTCACTAGCCCTTCCTCAGCATCCACAGGTCACGCCACCCCTCTTCTTGTCACCGACACTTCCTCAGCATCCACAGGACACGCCACCCCTCTTCCTGTCACCGACGCTTCCTCAGTGTCCACAGATCACGCCACCTCTCTTCCTGTAACCATCCCTTCCGCAGCATCCACAGGTCACACCACCCCTCTTCCTGTCACCGACACTTCCTCAGCATCCACAGGTCAGGCCACCTCTCTTCTTGTCACCGACACTTCCTCAGTATCCACAGGTGACACCACGCCTCTTCCTGTCACTAGCACTTCCTCAGCATCCACAGGTCACGTCACTCCTCTTCATGTCACCAGCCCTTCCTCAGCATCCACAGGTCACGCCACCCCTCTTCCTGTCACCAGCCTTTCCTCAGCATCCACAGGTGACACCATGCCTCTTCCTGTCACTAGCCCTTCCTCAGCATCCACAGGTGACACCACCCCTCTTCCTGTCACCGACGCTTCCTCAGTATCCACAGGTCACACCACCCCTCTTCCTGTCACCAGCCCTTCCTCAGCATCTACAGGTCACACCACCCCTCTTCCTGTCACCGACACTTCCTCAGCATCCAAAGGTGACACCACCCCTCTTCCTGTCACCAGCCCTTCCTCAGCATCTACAGGTCACACCACCCCTCTTCCTGTCACCGACACTTCCTCAGCATCCACAGGTGACACCACCCCTCTTCCTGTCACCAATGCTTCCTCATTATCCACAGGTCACGCCACCCCTCTTCATGTCACCAGCCCTTCCTCAGCATCCACAGGTCACGCCACCCCTCTTCCTGTCACCAGCACTTCCTCAGCATCCACCGGTCACGCCACCCCTCTTCCTGTCACCGGCCTTTCCTCAGCTACCACAGATGACACCACCCGTCTTCCTGTCACCGACGTTTCCTCGGCATCCACAGGTCAGGCCACCCCTCTTCCTGTCACCAGCCTTTCCTCAGTATCCACAGGTGACACCACGCCTCTTCCTGTCACTAGCCCTTCCTCAGCATCCACAGGTCACGCCAGCCCTCTTCTTGTCACTGACGCTTCCTCAGCATCCACAGGTCAGGCCACCCCTCTTCCTGTCACCGACACTTCCTCAGTATCCACAGCTCACGCCACCCCACTTCCTGTCACCGGCCTTTCTTCAGCTTCCACAGATGACACCACCCGTCTTCCTGTCACCGACGTTTCCTCGGCATCCACAGGTCAGGCCATCCCTCTTCCTGTCACCAGCCCTTCCTCAGCATCCACAGGTGACACCACCCCTCTTCCTGTCACCGACGCTTCCTCAGCATCCACAGGTGACACCACCTCTCTTCCTGTCACCATCCCTTCCTCAGCATCTTCAGGTCACACCACCTCTCTTCCTGTCACCGACGCTTCCTCAGTGTCCACAGGTCACGCCACCTCTCTTCTTGTCACCGACGCTTCCTCAGTATCCACAGGTGACACCACCCCTCTTCCTGTCACCGACACTAACTCAGCATCCACAGGTGACACCACCCCTCTTCATGTCACCGACGCTTCCTCAGTATCCACAGGTCACGCCACCTCTCTTCCTGTCACCAGCCTTTCCTCAGCATCCACAGGTGACACCACGCCTCTTCCTGTCACTAGCCCTTCCTCAGCATCCTCAGGTCACACCACCCCTCTTCCTGTCACCGACGCTTCCTCAGTACCCACAGGTCACGCCACCTCTCTTCCTGTCACCGACGCTTCCTCAGTGTCCACAGGTCACGCCACCCCTCTTCCTGTCACCGACGCTTCCTCAGTGTCCACAGGTCATGCCACCCCTCTTCCGGTCACCGACACTTCCTCAGTATCTACAGGACAGGCCACCCCTCTTCCTGTCACCAGCCTTTCCTCAGCATCCACTGGTGACACCACGCCGCTTCCTGTCACCGATACTTCCTCAGCATCCACAGGTCAGGACACCCCTCTTCCTGTCACCAGCCTTTCCTCAGTATCCACAGGTGACACCACGCCTCTTCCTGTCACTAACCCTTCCTCAGCATCCACAGGTCACGCCACCCCTCTTCTTGTCACCGACGCTTCCTCAATATCCACAGGTCACGCCACCTCTCTTCTTGTCACCGACGCTTCCTCAGTATCCACAGGTCACGCCACCGCTCTTCATGACACCGATGCTTCCTCATTATCCACAGGGGACACCACCCCTCTTCCTGTCACCAGCCCTTCCTCAACATCCACAGGTGACACCACCCCTCTTCCTGTCACCGAAACTTCCTCAGTATCCACAGGTCACGCCACCTCTCTTCCTGTCACCGACACTTCCTCAGCATCCACAGGTCACGCCACCTCTCTTCCTGTCACCGACACTTCCTCAGCATCCACAGGTCACGCCACCCCTCTTCCTGTCACCGACACTTCCTCAGCATCCACAGGTCAGGCCACCCCTCTTCCTGTCACCAGCCCTTCCTCAGCATCCACAGGTCACGCCATCCCTCTTCTTGTCACCGACACTTCCTCAGCATCCACAGGACAGGCCACCCCTCTTCCTGTCACCAGCCTTTCCTCAGCATCCACAGGTGACACCACCCCTCTTCCTGTCACCGACGCTTCCTCAGTGTCCACAGGTCACGCCACCTCTCTTCCTGTCACCAGCCTTTCCTCAGTATCCACAGGTGACACCACTCCTCTTCCTGTCACTAGCCCTTCCTCAGCATCCACAGGTCACGCCACCCCTCTTCATGTCACCGACGCTTCCTCAGCATCCACAGGTCACGCCACCCCTCTTCCTGTCACCAGCCTTTCCTCAGCATCCACAGGTGACACCACGCCTCTTCCTGTCACTAGCCCTTCCTCAGCATCCACAGGTCACGCCACCCCTCTTCATGTCACCGACGCTTCCTCAGTATCCACAGGTGACACCACCCCTCTTCCTGTCACCAGCTCTTCCTCAGCATCCTCAGGTCACACCACCCCTCTTCCTGTCACCGACGCTTCCTCAGCATCCACAGGTGACACCACCCCTCTTCCTGTCACCGACACTTCCTCAGCATCCACAGGTCACGCCACCCATCTTCCTGTCACCGGCCTTTCCTCAGCTTCCACAGGTGACACCACCCGTCTTCCTGTCACCAACGTTTCCTCGGCATCCACAGGTCATGCCACCCCTCTTCCTGTCACCAGCACTTCCTCAGCATCCACAGGTGACACCACCCCTCTTCCTGGCACCGACACTTCCTCAGTATCCACAGGTCACACCACCCCTCTTCTTGTCACCGACGCTTCGTCAGTATCCACAGGTGACACCACCCGTCTTCCTGTCACCAGCCCTTCCTCAGCATCTACAGGTCACACCACCCCTCTACCTGTCACCGACACTCCCTCAGCATCCACAGGTGACACCACCCCTCTTCCTGTCACCAATGCTTCCTCATTATCCACACGTCACGCCACCTCTCTTCATGTCACCAGCCCTTCCTCAGCATCCACAGGTCACGCCACCTCTCTTCCTGTCACCGACACTTCCGCAGCATCCACAGGTCACGCCACCCCTCTTCCTGTCACCAGCACTTCCTCAGCATCCACAGGTGACACCACCCCTCTTCCTGTCACCGACACTTACTCAGCATCCACAGGTCAGGCCACCCCTCTTCCTGTCACCAGCCTTTCCTCAGTATCCACAGGTGACACCACGCCTCTTCCTGTCACTAGCCCTTCCTCAGCATCCACAGGTCACGCCACTCCTCTTCTTGTCACCGACGCTTCCTCAGCATCCACAGGTCAGGCCACCCCTCTTCCTGTCACCAGCCTTTCCTCAGTATCCACAGGTGACACCACGCCTCTTCCTGTCACTAGCCCTTCCTCAGCATCCACCGGTCATGCCACCTCTCTTCCTGTCACCGACACTTCCTCAGCATCCACAGGTGACACCACCTCTCTTCCTGTCACCGACACTTCCTCAGCATACACAGGTGACACCACCTCTCTTCCTGTCACCGACACTTCCTCATCATCCACAGGTGACACCACCCCTCTTCTTGTCACCGAGACTTCCTCAGTATCCACAGGTGACACCACCCCTCTTCCTGTCACCGACACTTCCTCAGCATCCACAGGTCACGCCACCCCTCTTCCTGTCACCAACACTTCCTCAGTATCCACAGGTCACGCCACCCCTCTTCATGTCACCAGCCCTTCCTCAGCATCCACAGGTCACACCACCCCTCTTCCTGTCACCGACGCTTCGTCAGTGTCCACAGGTCACGCCACCTCTCTTCCTGTCACCGACGCTTCCTCAGTGTTCACAGGTCATGCCACCTCTCTTCCTGTCACCATCCCTTCCTCAGCATCCTCAGGTCACACCACCCCTCTTCCTGTCACCGACGCTTCCTCAGTGTCCACAGGTCACGCCACCTCTCTTCCTGTCACCGACGCTTCCTCAGTGTCCACAGGTCATGCCACCCCTCTTCCTGTCACCGACGCTTCCTCAGTGTCCACAGGTCACGCTACCCCTCTTCCTCTCACCAGCCTTTCCTCAGTATCCACAGGTGACACCACGCCTCTTCCTGTCACCGACACTTCCTCAGCATCCACAGGTCAGGCCACCCCTCTTCCTGTCACCAGCCTTTCCTCAGTATCCACAGGTGACACCACCCCTCTTCCTGTCACCGACACTTCCTCAGCATCCACAGGTCACGCCACCTCTCTTCCTGTCACCGACACTTCCTCAGCATCCACAGGTCACGCCACCCCTCTTCCTGACACCGACACTTCCTCAGCATCCACAGGTCACGCCACCCTTCTTCCTGTCACCGACACTTCCTCAGCATCCATAGGTCACGCCACCTCTCTTCCTGTCACCGACACTTCCTCAATATCCACAGGTCACGCCACCCCTCTTCATGTCACCAGCCCTTCCTCAGCATCCACCGGTCACGCCACCCCGCTTCCTGTCACCGACACTTCCTCAGCATCCACAGGTCACGCCAACCCTCTTCATGTCACCAGCCCTTCCTCAGCATCCACCGGTCACGCCACCCCGCTTCCTGTCACCGACACTTCCTCAGCATCCACAGGTCACGCCACCCCTCTTCCTGTCACCAGCCTTTCCTCAGTATCCACAGGTGACACCACGCCTCTTCCTGTCACTAGCCCTTCCTCAGCATCCACAGGTCACACCACCCCTCTTCCTGTCACCGACACTTCCTCAGCATCCACAGGTCAGGCCACCGCTCTTCCTGTCACCAGCACTTCCTCAGCATCCACAGGTGACACCACCCCTCTTCCTGTCACCGACACTTCCTCAGCATCCACAGGTCAGGCCACCCCTCTTCCTGTCACCAGCCTTTCCTCAGTATCCACAGGTGACACCACGCCTCTTCCTGTCACTAGCCCTTCCTCAGCATCCACAGGTCACGCCACTCCTCTTCTTGTCACCGACGCTTCCTCAGCATCCACAGGTCAGGCCACCCCTCTTCCTGTCACCAGCCTTTCCTCAGTATCCACAGGTGACACCACGCCTCTTCCTGTCACTAGCCCTTCCTCAGCATCCACCGGTCATGCCACCTCTCTTCCTGTCACCGACACTTCCTCAGCATCCACAGGTGACACCACCTCTCTTCCTGTCACCGACACTTCCTCAGCATACACAGGTGACACCACCTCTCTTCCTGTCACCGACACTTCCTCATCATCCACAGGTGACACCACCCCTCTTCTTGTCACCGAGACTTCCTCAGTATCCACAGGTCACGCCACTCCTCTTCTTGTCACCGACGCTTCCTCAGCATCCACAGGTCACGCCACCCCTCTTCATGTCACCAGCCCTTCCTCAGCATCCACAGGTGACACCACCCCTGTGCCTGTCACCGACACTTCCTCAGTATCCACAGGTCACGCCACCCCTCTTCCTGTCACCGGCCTTTCCTCAGCTTCCACAGGTGACACCACCCGTCTTCCTGTCACCGACATTTCCTCGGCATCCACAGGTCAGGCCACCCCTCTTCCTGTCACCAACACTTCCTCAGTATCCACAGGTGACACCATGCCTCTTCCTGTCACTAGCCCTTCCTCAGCATCCACAGGTCACGCCACCCCTCTTCCTGTCACCAGCACTTCCTCAGCATCCACCGGTCACGCCACCCCTGTTCCTGTCACCAGCACTTCCTCAGCATCTACAGGTCACACCACCCCTCTTCCTGTCACCGACACTTCCTCAGCATCCACAGGTGACACCACCCCTCTTCCTGTCACCAGCCCTTCCTCAGCATCTACAGGTCACACCACCCCTCTTCATGTCACCATCCCTTCCTCAGCATCCACAGGTGACACCAGCACTCTTCCTGTCACCGGCGCTTCCTCAGCATCCACCGGTCACGCCACCCCTCTTCCTGTCACCGACACTTCCTCAGTATCCACCGGTCACGCCACGCCTCTTCCTGTCACCAGCCTTTCCTCAGTATCCACAGGTGACACCACCCCTCTTCCTGTCACCGACGCTTCCTCGGCATCCACAGGTCAGGCCACCCCTCTTCCTGTCACCAGCCTTTCCTCAGTATCCACAGGTGACACCACCCCTCTTCTTGTCACCGACGCTTCCTCAGTATCCACAGGTCACGCCACCCCTCTTCCTGTCACCGACACTTCCTCAGCATCCACAGGTGACACCACCCGTCTTCCTGTCACGGACACTTCCTCAGCATCCACAGGTCAGGCCACCCCTCTTCCTGTCACCAGCCTTTCCTCAGTATCCACAGGTGACACCACCCCTCTTCTTGTCACCGACGCTTCCTCAGTATCCACAGGTCACGCCACCCCTCTTCCTGTCACCGACACTTCCTCAGCATCCACAGGTGACACCACCCGTCTTCCTGTCACGGACACTTCCTCAGCATCCACAGGTCAGGCCACCCCTCTTCCTGTCACCATCCCTTCCTCATCATCCTCAGGTCACACCACCCCTCTTCCTGTCACCAGCACTTCCTCAGTATCTACAGGTCACGTCACCCCTCTTCATGTCACCAGCCCTTCCTCAGCATCCACAGGTCACGTCACCCCTCTTCCTGTCACCAGCACTTCCTCAGCATCCACAGGTCACGCCACCCCTCTTCTTGTCACCGACGCTTCCTCAGTGTCCACAGGTCACGCCACGCCTCTTCCTGTCACCGACGCTTCCTCAGCATCCACAGGTGACACCACCCCTCTTCCTGTCACCGACACTTCCTCAGCATCCACAGGTCAGGCCACCCCTCTTCCTGTCACCAGCCTTTCCTCAGTATCCACAGGTGACACCACCCCTCTTCCTGTCACCGACGCTTCCTCAGCATCCACAGGTCACGCCACCCCTCTTCCTGTCACCATCCCTTCCTCAGTATCCACAGGTGACACCATGCCTCTTCCTGTCACTAGCCCTTCCTCAGCATCCACAGGTCACGCCACCCCTCTTCCTGTTACCGGCCTTTCCTCAGCTTCCACAGGTGACACCACCCCTCTTCCTGTCACCGACACTTCCTCAGCATCCACACGTCACGCCACCCCTCTTCCTGTCACCGACACTTCCTCAGCTTCCACAGATGACACCACCCGTCTTCCTGTCACCGACGTTTCCTCGGCATCCACAGGACATGCCACCCCTCTTCCTGTCACCAGCACTTCCTCAGCATCCACAGGTGACACCACCCCTCTTCCTGTCACCGACACTTCCTCAGTATCCACAGGTCACGCCACCTCTCTTCCTGTCACCAGCCGTTCCTCAGCATCCACAGGTCACGCCACCCCCCTTCCTGTCACCGACACTTCCTCAGTATCCACAGGTCACGCCACCCCTCTTCCTGTCACCAGCACTTCCTCAGTATCTACAGGTCACGCCACCCCTCTTCCTGTCACCAGCCCTTCCTCAGCATCCACAGGTCACGCCACCCCTGTTCCTGTCACCAGCACTTCCTCAGCATCCACAGGTGACACCACCCCTCTTCCTGTCACCAATGCTTCCTCATTATCCACAGGTCACGCCACCCCTCTTCATGTCACCAGCCCTTCCTCAGCATCCAGAGGTGACACCAGCACTCTTCCTGTCACCGATGCTTCCTCAGCATCCACCGGTCACGCCACCCCTCTTCCTCTCACCAGCCTTTCCTCAGTATCCACAGGTGACACCACGCCTCTTCCTGTCACCGACACTTCCTCTGCATCCACAGGTCAGGCCACCCCTCTTCCTGTCACCAGCCTTTCCTCAGTATCCACAGGTGACACCACGCCTCTTCCTGTCACCATCCCTTCCTCAGCATCCTCAGGTCACACCACCTCTCTTCCTGTCACCGACGCTTCCTCAGTGTCCACAGGTCACGGCACCCCTCTTCCTGTCACCAGCACTTCCTCAGCATCCACAGGTGACACCACCCCTCTTCCTGTCACCGACACTTCCTCAGCATCCACAGGTCACGCCACCCCTCTTCCTGTCACCGACACTTCCTCAGCATCCACAGGTCACGCCACCCCTCTTCCTGTCACCAGCCTTTCCTCAGTATCCACAGGTCACGCCACCCCTCTTGCTGTCAGCAGTGCTACCTCAGCTTCCACAGTATCCTCGGACTCCCCTCTGAAGATGGAAACACCAGGTAGCTGCCAACTGCCTCGCCTTTATGTCTCCCAGTGGGCCCCTTGGCGGAATTCAGCCTAAGGAGTACCTGAGAACACTGGTGCATTCGCATTACCTGGTGGGGCCGTGTCAGGTCCCACAGGGGAGGAGGTGATGGGTGTGGTGGGTGACAGGCTCACCCTCCTTTGTGCCGCAATCGAAAAGCACTGATGTCGAGAGTAGTTTGGATATGAGCAGGGGAGAGACAAGGAGTTTCCAGCTCCCTCTTCCAGCTCCTGATTTCTTTGAATCTCTTTGACTCTCCTGTTTTGTTACTGTAAGAAACACCCCGCCTTGTCTTTTCACGTGTCCAGGAATGACAACACCGTCACTGAAGACAGACGGTGGGAGACGCACAGCCACATCACCACCCCCCACAACCTCCCAGACCATCATTTCCACCATTCCCAGCACTGCCATGCACACCCGCTCCACAGCTGCCCCCATCCCCATCCTGCCTGAGAGAGGTGAGGCCATACAGGTGAGGCCTGTGCCTTTTGAGGGGTGATGTAACTGAAGGCTCCCTCTCAGCCTACTTCCCACAGTCTCCGCTCTCTCGGGTGGGGAGGGCCTTACCGAGGACAGGGACACAGCATCGGAGTCGCTCCTGAGGGCTGGCTTTGTGCATGGCACTGGGCCAGGAGCTGGAGACAGAGAAATGACCCCAGTGCCATTCAGCAAGGGATAGATGGACGGTCCGGTAGCGGCGGTTAGAGGACTCATCCCAGGGTCTAAGTGCACACAATGGAAGGCCCTAAGGAATGCAGAGCCGGGGATGGAGGAGCACCCCAGGCAGGGAGGAGGGCGGGAACAGCTGGAACAAAGGTGTGGAAGGTATGGGTGTGGAAGGTATGGGTGTGGAAGGTATGGCTGTGGAAGGTATGGGTGTGGAAGGTATGGGTGTGGAAGGTATGGGTGTGGAAGGTATGGATGTGGAAGGTATGGGTGTGGAAGGTATGGGTGTGGAAGGTATGGGTGTGGAAGGTATGGGTGTGGAAGGTATGGGTGTGGAAGGTAAGGGTGTGGAAGGTATGGGTGTGGAAGGTATGGGTGTGGAAGGTATGGGTGTGGAAGGTATGGATGTGGAAGGTATGGGTGTGGAAGGTATGGGTGTGGAAGGTATGACTGTGGAAGGTATGGGTGTGGAAGGTATGGGTGTGGAAGGTATGGGTGTGGAAGGTATGGGTGTGGAAGGTATGGGTGTGGAAGGTATGGGTGTGGAAGGTATGACTGTGGAAGGTATGGGTGTGGAAGGTATGACTGTGGAAGGTATGGGTGTGGAAGGTAAGGGTGTGGAAGGTATGGGTGTGGAAGGTATGGGTGTGGAAGGTATGGGTGTGGAAGGTATGGGTGTGGAAGGTAAGGGTGTGGAAGGTATGGGTGTGGAAGGTATGGGTGTGGAAGGTATGGGTGTGGAAGGTAAGGGTGTGGAAGGTATGGGTGTGGAAGGTATGGGTGTGGAAGGTATGGGTGTGGAAGGTATGGATGTGGAAGGTATGGGTGTGGAAGGTATGGGTGTGGAAGGTATGACTGTGGAAGGTATGGGTGTGGAAGGTATGACTGTGGAAGGTATGGGTGTGGAAGGTATGGGTGTGGAAGGTATGGGTGTGGAAGGTATGGATGTGGAAGGTATGGGTGTGGAAGGTATGGGTGTGGAAGGTATGACTGTGGAAGGTATGGGTGTGGAAGGTATGACTGTGGAAGGTATGGGTGTGGAAGGTATGGGTGTGGAAGGTATGGGTGTGGAAGGTATGGGTGTGGAAGGTATGGATGTGGAAGGTATGGGTGTGGAAGGTATGGGTGTGGAAGGTATGACTGTGGAAGGTATGGGTGTGGAAGGTATGACTGTGGAAGGTATGGGTGTGGAAGGTAAGGGTGTGGAAGGTATGGGTGTGGAAGGTATGGGTGTGGAAGGTATGGGTGTGGAAGGTATGACTGTGGAAGGTATGGCCGTGGAAGGTATGGGTGTGGAAGGTATGGGTGTGGAAGGTATGGGTGTGGAAGGTATGGGTGTGGAAGGTATGGGTGTGGAAGGTATGGGTGTGGAAGGTATGACTGTGGAAGGTATGGGTGTGGAAGGTAAGGGTGTGGAAGGTATGGGTGTGGAAGGTATGGGTGTGGAAGGTATGACTGTGGAAGGTATGGGTGTGGAAGGTATGGGTGTGGAAGGTATGGGTGTGGAAGGTATGGGTGTGGAAGGTATGGGTGCGGAAGGTATGGGTGTGGAAGGTATGGGTGCGGAAGGTATGGGTGTGGAAGGTATGGGTGTGGAAGGTATGGATGCGGAAGGTATGGGTGTGGAAGGTATGGGTGCGGAAGGTATGGGTGCGGAAGGTATGGGTGTGGAAGGTATGGGTGTGGAAGGTATGGGTGTGGAAGGTATGGGTGTGGAAGGTATGGCTGTGGAAGGTATGGGTGTGGAAGGTATGGGTGTGGAAGGTATGACTGTGGAAGGTATGGGTGTGGAAGGTATGGGTGTGGAAGGTATGGGTGTGGAAGGTATGGGTGTGGAAGGTATGGGTGTGGAAGGTATGGGTGTGGAAGGTATGGATGTGGAAGGTATGGGTGTGGAAGGTATGGGTGTGGAAGGTATGACTGTGGAAGGTATGGGTGTGGAAGGTATGGCTGTGGAAGGTATGGGTGTGGAAGGTAAGGGTGTGGAAGGTATGGGTGTGGAAGGTATGGGTGTGGAAGGTAAGGGTGTGGAAGGTATGGGTGTGGAAGTTATGGCCGTGGAAGGTATGGATGTGGAAGGTATGGGTGTGGAAGGTATGACTGTGGAAGGTATGGATGTGGAAGGTATGGGTGTGGAAGGTATGGGTGTGGAAGGTATGACTGTGGAAGGTATGGGTGTGGAAGGTATGGGTGTGGAAGGTATGGGTGTGGAAGGTATGGGTGTGGAAGGTATGGCCGTGGAAGGTATGGGTGTGGAAGGTATGACCGTGGAAGGTATGGCCGTGGAAGGTATGGGTGTGGAAGGTAAGGGTGTGGAAGGTATGGGTGTGGAAGGTATGGGTGTGGAAGGTAAGGGTGTGGAAGGTATGGATGTGGAAGGTATGGGTGTGGAAGGTATGGGTGTGGAAGGTATCGGTGTGGAAGGTATGGGTGTGGAAGGTATGACTGTGGAAGGTATGGGTGTGGAAGGTATGACTGTGGAAGGTATGGGTGTGGAAGGTATGGGTGTGGAAGGTATGGGTGTGGAAGGTATGGGTGTGGAAGGTATGACTGTGGAAGGTATGGGTGTGGAAGGTATGGGTGTGGAAGGTATGGCTGTGGAAGGTATGGGTGTGGAAGGTATGACTGTGGAAGGTATGGGTGTGGAAGGTATGGGTGTGGAAGGTATGGGTGTGGAAGGTATGGGTGTGGAAGGTATGGGTGTGGAAGGTACGAGTGTGGTAGGTATGGCTGCAGAAAGTCGTCCCGGTGCTGCATGGGGGTGGATCCCCGAAGCATTTGGGGTGGCTGAAAATGAGAAGAAGGGTAGCAAAAAGTGCGGCCGGCATGCGGGGAATCCTGTAGGCAACGGGAGCCAGGGAGGACTCAGTTTTGCATTGTACAAATGGCATTTAACAAGTGGTGCCTGGAGCGGTCCGATTTGCAGGCAGTGAGGAGGCCAGGAGAGCCTGCGGGTTTCCAAGCAGGACCAGGGGAGGGCGCCAAGGAGTCGGCAGCTGCGAGAAATATTTGGGACAAGGTTTCTCAAACTGGAGCCCGAGGGCCTCTAGGGAGTCCTAGGTTAAATTGGAGGAGTCTTCAAGTTTATCTGGAGAAAGGCCGTCTTAGGAAACAAGTCTCATTCCCTGAAAAGGGCTTTGCAGTTACTCATCTTCATTGCGCTGGACTTTTGTCTATTTTTTTTTTTTTTTTTGAGATGGAGTTTTCGCTCTTGTTGCCCAGGCTGGAGTGCAGTGGCGCGATCTCAGCTCACTGGAACCTCAGCCTCCCGGGTTCAAGCAATTCTCCTGCCTCAGCCTCCCGAGTGGCTGGGATTACAGGCATGCGCCACCACACCCGGCTAATTTTTGTATTTTAAGTAGAGACAGGGCTTCTCCATGTTGGTCAGGCTGGTCTCGAACTCCTGACCTCGTGATCCTCCCGCCTCAGCCTCCCAAAGTGCTGGGATTACAGGCGTGAGCCACCGCACCCAGCATAGACTTTTGTCTTTTAACCCTGAAAAGGATTGAGACTAAGAGATTGAGAATCGTTTGCTGGTATTCTGACAGCAGGACCTGTTTTTCTCCAAGCTGGGGAAGGATGAGAGGCGCAGTTTAGGGAGTAAAATGACCACATGCATTTAATGTGGGTGGAGAGGGAGCGAGAAGCACCCTAGATGGCTGCCTCTGGGGCCCTCGGGGAACACAGGACAGGTGTGGGCAGCCTGCAGGGAGCGCTCTGGGATCCCTTTCAGCCCTAAAGAAGGCCCAGGCCCACTTGGACTTCCTGCTCTTCTCTGTCCTGGCCCAGGAGTTTCCCTCTTCCCCTATGGGGCAGGCGCCGGGGACCTGGAGTTCGTCAGGAGGACCGTGGACTTCACCTCCCCACTCTTCAAGCCGGCGACTGGCTTCCCCCTTGGCTCCTCTCTCCGTGATTCCCTCTACGTGAGTCCGGGCTGCGGCCCGCGCAGCCTGAACTCCCAGGGCCCACTTCTCTCTCCTGCTTCGAGACGGAACCCAGAGGAAGCGGGAATGGAAGCAGCCTTGGCTGGGCCCCTCGTCCATCCCCACAGCCTCCTTAATGTCAGGCCTCTGCCTGAGGAACACAGGGTGCCAGGCGAGGGCTGCCCACCTGCTGGGCCCACCGCTGCTTCTGCGGGGCCTTCTCAGGAGTAAAAAGCTACACTTGGGAAACTGGACTGTTCCTGCCGTTTCCACCTTCTGGGATTTGTCTCTGGCCCCCTGGTCCCTGCCTCCTGGAGCAGAGTTGGAGGGACAGTCCTGGCTCCTGTGGCCCTGAGGGAGGAGGCTGAGTCCGAACACAGCATGAGAGGGCGACTGAGCGATGGAGAGGGTGTCCACACCTGCTGAGCGATAGAGAGAGGGTGTCCACACCTGCTGAGCGATGGCGAGAGGGTGTCCACACCTGCTGAGCGATGGCGAGAGGGTGTCCACACCTGCTGAGCGATGGCGAGAGGGTGTCCACACCTGCTGAGCGATAGAGAGAGGGTGTCCACACCTGCTGAGCGATGGCGAGAGGGTGTCCACACCTGCTGAGCGATAGAGAGAGGGTGTCCACACCTGCTGAGCGATGGAGAGAGGGTGTCCACACCTGCTGAGTGATAGAGAGAGGGTGTCCACACCTGCTGAGCGATGGAGAGAGGGTGTCCACACCTGCTGAGTGAGAGAGAGGTTTCCACCCCCTAAGTGATGGAGATGGGGTGTCTGCACCCCTGAGTGATGGAGAGAGGGTGTCTACACCCCTGAGCGATGGAGGGGGGTGCCTACACCTGCTGAGCGATAGAGAGAGGTTTCCACCCCCTAAGTGATGGAGATGGGGTGTCTGCACCCCTGAGCGATGGAGAGAGGGTATCTACACCTGCTGAGTGATAGAGAGAGGTTTCCACCCCCTAAGTGATGGAGATGGGGTGTCTGCACCCCTGAGCGATGGAGAGAGGGTGTCTACACCCCTGAGCGATGGAGAGGGGGTGTCTACACCCCTGAGCGATGGAGAGAGGATGTCTACACCCCGAACGATAGAGAGGGTGTCCACACCCCTGAGCGATGAAGGGAGGGTGTCTACACCCCTGAGCGATGGAGAGAGGGTGTCCACACCCCTGAGCGATGGAGAGAGGGTGTCTACACCCCTGAGCGATGGAGAGAGGGTATCTACACCCCTGAGCGATGGAGAGAGGGTGTCTACACCCCTGAGCGATGAAGGGAGGGTGTCTATAGCCCTGAGCACCCCTGAGCGATGAAGGGAGGGTGTCTATACCCCTGAGCGATGGAGAGAGGGTGTCTACACCCCTGAGCGATGGAGAGGGGGTGTCTACACCCCTGAGCGATGGAGAGGGGGTGTCTACACCCCTGAGCGATGGAGAGAGGATGTCTACACCCCTGAGCGATGAAGGGAGGGTGTCTACACCCCTGAGGGATGGAGAGAGGGTGTCCACACCTGCTGAGTGATAGAGAGAGGTTTCCACCCCCTAAGTGATGGAGATGGGGTGTCTGCACCCCTGAGCGATGGAGAGAGGGTGTCTACACCCCTGAGCGGTGGAGAGAGGGTGTCTACACCCCTGAGCGATGAAGGGAGGGTGTCTACACCCCTGAGCGATGAAGGGAGGGTGTCTACACCCCTGAGCGATGGAGAGAGGGTGTCTACACCCCTGAGCGATGGAGGGAGGGTGTCTACACCCCTGAGCGATGAAGGGAGGGTGTCTACACCCCTGAGCGATGAAGGGAGGGTGTCTACACCCCTGAGCGATGGAGAGAGGGTGTCTACACCTGCTGAGCAATAGATAGAGGGTTCCACCCCCTAAGTGATGGAGATGGGGTGTCTGCACCCCTGAGCGATGGAGAGAGGGTGTCTACACCCCTGAGCGACGGAGGGAGGGCTCCACCCACTGAGCGATGGAGGGAGGGCTCCACCCCCTGAGCGATGGAGAGAGGGTTCCACTCCCTGAGCCCCACCTAATGTGTCGCAAACTTCAGGATGGGGCCCAGGGGACTGGCCAAGAGGGGTGTGCCTGTGAGGGGCTGGTCCACAGCCAGGGATCTGCAGTGAAACAGGACCAAGCCTACCACCCGAGGACGCAAGGGATGGCCTGAGGGCGGAGCATTCTGTGAGAATATATGGAAAGGGCTCTCCCCAAAACAGGACACAGGAGGTGACTTCCAGGGGTTGTTAGCATCTCTAAAGCTCTACCCTTGGGGGTCACGCTTTTGAGGAGCTGGACCAAGGCTGGGACTTTCCTCCCCACTTCCCTCCCTGAATGCTGACCACAAAACCCATGTGCTCAGTTCACAGACAATGGCCAGATCATCTTCCCAGAGTCAGACTACCAGATTTTCTCCTACCCCAACCCACTCCCAACAGGCTTCACAGGCCGGGACCCTGTGGCCCTGGTGGCTCCGTTCTGGGACGATGCTGACTTCTCCACTGGTCGGGGGACCACATTTTATCAGGTGAGCCTTTCAAAGCCTGGCAGTCAGGATCCCCCAGCAGCTGGCAGGGGAGACAAAGAGCTGTGTGGAAGGCTTTGCCAGAGTTGCTGCTGTGACAGCCCCTGCAGCAGGGGACTGAGGCTTAAATATGGGTGTGGGAGGAAGCAGTCAAGGGACATTAAGCTGACTCAGGAGTACCCCAACCCAACCACGAGACTGACCAGGAATACCCCAACCCAACCACGAGACTGACCAGGAATACCCCAACCCGGCCGCGAGACTGACCAGGAATACCCCAACCCAACCACGAGACTGACCAGGAATACCCCAACCCAACCACGAGACTGACCAGGAATACCCCAACCCAACCACGAGACTGACCAGGAATACCCCAACCCAACCACGAGACTGACCAGGAATACCCCAACCCAACCACGAGACTGACCAGGAATACACCAACCCAACCACGAGACTGACCAGGAATACCCCAACCCAACCACGAGACTGACCAGGAATACCCCAACCCGGCCGCGAGACTGACCAGGAATACCCCAACCCGGCCACGAGACTGACCAGGAATACCCCAACCCGGCCACGAGACTGACCAGGAATACCCCAACCCAACCACGAGACTGACCAGGAATACCCCAACCCAACCACGAGACTGACCAGGAATACCCCAACCCGGCCGCGAGACTGACCAGGAATACCCCAACCCGGCCACGAGAAGACCTACAGGTGACGGGGGATGGGGGCTGACAATTCAGCCTTTGATTGTAAAATCAGGCTGTAGGGGGTCTATCCTAACAAGAGTGAGTCAAGAGGGCCCGTCCTGTGCTCCTGGACTGGGTGAATAACTCCAATCAGAGGAAATGTGATGAAAGCTACTGCAGGAAGTGTGGACCGTGCCCCTGCCACGGACAGGGCAGTGTGGAGGCTCCAAGAGGAAGAGACTCACGCCTGTTCTCAAGAAGCTGCAGATTAGGCATGGGGAGGTAAAAGTGGGCCCGAGTGGCTCTGCTCTCTGGGCCAGTTTGAGCTAAGATGCTTGAGTTCAAGTCCAGAGGTCTTGGACGTCTGGGCCACGACCCTGCATTCTGCACACTGCAGGCCTTCCTGCAGCCCAAGTTTGAATTGAACTTCACCTCAGAAAAGCTCACGGCAAAAATGCAGGCCTGGGACAGGGGAGGGCAGGCCATTGGGTGGGCTGAAGTGGGCAGGGTCCTCAGGCAGAAAGTGGGGGGCCCATGTGTAGGAGTGGGACCCTCGTTGGCTTGTTTTCATCTGCCCTCCTTTCCTAGGAATACGAGACGTTCTATGGTGAACACAGCCTGCTAGTCCAGCAGGCCGAGTCTTGGATTAGAAAGATGACAAACAACGGGGGCTACAAGGCCAGGTGGGCCCTAAAGGTCACGTGGGTCAATGCCCACGCCTATCCTGCCCAGTGGACCCTCGGGGTGAGTAGACCCCTGGGCAGCTCCCAGGAGCTATCTGGGAGTCAGACATCCTAGAATCCTAGGCAGGGGCCACTCTTCCAAAATCCTCTCTGGCTCTAGGAAAGATTGCTAATTATAGCAAGCCCCCCCACCGCCACCCCCCCACTGCCACCACTGTTGGCTGAGCACTCACCGTGGGCCCGGCCTGTCTCGGCCCTTTGCCTACTTGACCTCACAGCAGCCCAGCAAACCGGGTATTATTAGGCTGAAACATAGCAAGTGGCATTTTTGTAAGTCAAAAATGTCTGGCTATTCACAATTTCACGTGGCTCAGTCTGGTATTATGCTCCCCATTTTACAGATGAGGAAGACAATGGTTAGAGAGGTTAAGTAACTCGTTCAGAGTCACGCCACTGGCAAATGGCAAAGCCAGGCCTGAGTGGAGCTTCTTCTGACTCCAGCCTCTGGCTCTGAAGCACAGGCTCATCCAACGGGCACAGGGTGCGCCACACCATCTCCTCTGTCCTCCCTCCGAGGACCCCGCTCTTGTAGTCACCAAGTTCTTCCTTATGCCTGGTCTAAAGTCACTCATTTCTTCATTCACTCGACAAAAGTTCACTGGTCACCTACTGTGGACAACGTGTGCGCCTTCAGTGAACCCCAGTGTCATCCATGCTGTTTAGATGGAGGAGACAATTTGGGCAATGTCCTTAAATATCCGCGCGGGAGCTAATGAAGCCTCCTCTCTAGCTCTCTGGTATCTTGGCTGATCTCAGGTTCTGGTAGCTTTCTCTAACAAACACTCATCTAACTGAATTGTAACCCAGAACCCTTTATCTCCCCTCCTGGAAGAAAGTCACCAAAAGGCAAATCCACCGTGGTAAGTGCGTTCGCACCCAGGGTGAAAGCTGCCCTCACTGACCCAAAACTTGCCAGCATTTTGGGCCCATGTCTTTGCTGTGGGCAGACCAGGAACAGGTGCTGTGCGTGTCAGAGCAGGGCTGTGGGACGGGCGGGGGGACATAAGAGAGGAGACCCCGGATCTCTCACGGGCATCCCTGTGTTTTCTTCCACCCACCCCCAGAGCAACACCTACCAAGCCATCCTCTCCACGGACGGGAGCAGGTCCTATGCCCTGTTTCTCTACCAGAGCGGTGGGATGCAGTGGGACGTGGCCCAGCGCTCAGGCAACCCGGTGCTCATGGGCTTCTCTAGGTAGGATGGGAGGGGCTGTCAGCACTGAGCAGTTGGCAGGGAGGGGTGTAGAGTCGGCTTTCGCTGCACACACACTCCCATCCTGGGGCAAGGCGGGAACCCTCCTGGCTGGTGCTTCTGACTCACGCTGACTCCAGCTCCCGCTGGGGCCAGGCATCTGGCTGCTTCCCACGACAAGATCACCCATTTGTCCGCCATGCCCTTTCCCATCCCAGTCCCCGTGAGTTGTAATCATTCCCAGAGCTTTGGCTTCCCTGATTTCCACTGACATTAGCTGGCCTCTCTTACCTTCTCAAATATCGTGATAATAACAGCCAAGACTGATGACACTAACACTTCGTGTACATTACTGCATGTCATGATCACAGCCACCCCACGAGGCAGATACTATTTATCATCCCCATTCTACAGATCAGGAAACTGAGATACAAATAGACTAGCAATTTGCCTAAAGTCCCAGAGCTGGGAAGTGGCAACATGGAGATTTGAACCCAGACATCTGAGGCTAGAATCTGCCTTCCTGACTTCCTGAGAATTACCCACTTATCCAGGGGGCACCCAAAAGCTTATATGGAGCCGGTGGTGAAGGGAGAGAGGAGGCACGGGGCTGTGGGCGGTTGAAATGTGGATTCCCGTGTGTGGGAGGCTGTCTCCGATGTAGCAGTGCGCCATCTCTGTTCCCATATGCTGGGGTGTGGCAATCAGTACGAAGGCCACATGTCTTTTGTTCTTGATAATTGCTGCAAATGTCTTCTCTTACATTGAGTGTGTTCAGGTTACCCCTTTGATTACACTGCTTTCACTAGTTTCTTGGTGTGCTATGAAGGAGAAAGGAGGGGAATTACCCAACTCTAGGAATTTCACACGGTCCAGGTACACCCAAGGAAGGTGTCACGCAGGGGTGCATCATCCTGCTTGTGTCAGGGAGGAGGAAAAGCCCAAGAGTCCCCACTCTGCAGCAGGCACCCAGGGTGGGGCTGCAGGCGGCTGCTCCAGGCTTTCCTCCTTCCCGGGCCATGCTCGGACCCCACACCTGGGGACGGTGATGGCGATAGTGGTGGTGGTGGTGGTGGTGGTGGTGGTAGTGGCGGTGGAGGTGGCAGTGGCGATGGTGATGGTGGTGATGGTGGTGGTGATGGTGGTGATGGTGGTGGTGTTGGGGGTGATGGTGGCGATGGTGGTGGTGGTGATGGTGGTGGTGGTGGTGATGGTGGTGATGATGGTGGTGGCAATGATGGTGGTGATGGTGGTGGTGGTGGTGATGGTGGTGGTGGCGATGGTGATGGTGGTGGTGATGGTGGTGGTGGCCGATGGTGGTATTTTTTGGGGGGTGGCCAGTGATGGTGGTGATGGTGATGGTGGTGGTGGTGGTGGTGGCGATGGTGGTGGTGATGGTGGTGATGGTGGTGGCAATGGTGATGATGGTGGTGGTGGTGATGGTGGTGGTGATGGTGGTGGCAATGGTAATGGTGATGGTGATGATGGTGGTGGCGATGGTGGTGGTGATGGTGATGGTGGTGGTGATGGTGATGGTGGTGGTGATGGTGATGGTGGTGGTAGTGTTGGTGGTGGTGGTGGTGATGGTGATGGTGATGGTAGTGTTGGTGGTGACGATGATGGTGGTGGTGGTGGTAGTGCTGGCGATGGTGGTGGTGGTGGTAGCAGCAGTGGCAGCATCTGTTGTATCAAGGCCTCACTCAGTTCTGAGGGATTTGCAGATGTTACTGCATTTAATCCTCACAATACAGTGAGGTAGATGCCACTGTAATCCCTTTTATACAGATGTGAAAACTAAGAATCAGAGAGGGTCAGTAACTTGTCTGTGGTCACCAAGCTAGTAAGTGGGGGGATCAGCAGTTGAATCCATCACTGCCTAACTCCAGAAACTGGGTCTTAACCATCACAATACACTGTCCCTAGAGTCTGTCCCGCTCCAAACCCTCTGCTTGTTGAAGGGAAACAAACAGAAATGAGGCCTGAACTCTGTTGTTTTCACGCCCCTGTCTCATGACCAAGCGGACCTGCCAGTTTCTTGCAGCTAGCGATCAGATGTGGAATCGGTTAGAGCCTCCTACCTCTGCCCAGCCATCTTGTCCCCTCTCCTGCTCAGTGCTGGGGCTTGACGATGGGGGCTGGCTGACCCACTGACCCACTGCCCGCCTAGCTGGTTGACCAGCTGCTGACCGGCTAGCGGGATGAATGGACGCCTTGCAACCGCGAGGCAAGAGCCTGTGCACGGCAGAGGCCTGAGAGTCTCTCCTTTCCTGCAGTGGAGATGGCTATTTCGAAAACAGCCCACTGATGTCCCAGCCAGTGTGGGAGAGGTATCGCCCTGATAGATTCCTGAATTCCAACTCAGGTAAAAGTGCCACCTTATCACACCTGAGCTGGTCTCAAGCCCTCGCGTGTCCTCCAGCCCATACACCATCGCAGTCCTAGAGGGCACCTCCCTAACATCACGGCCATCCTGAAGGGCCTCCCCCACACAGTTCAACCTCCTACAGGTCTAGGTGGGATGTGGCACCACCCAGGGAGCAGCTGGCACCTCCTGCACCCCTGGACACAGCACAGTCTCAGAGGGGGCTACATCTCCTCCCTCAGATGAACCAGCCCAAGAGGGCTCTCGGGGGGCCCAGATCCTGGAAGTGAGGACAGGGTCTTGTGGGAGGTGGGATTTGAATGGGCAGTTCAGACAATACTCCAAGTGTCCTGTCCAGAGCAGGAATGAGAACCCAGGTGAGATCCTTTAAGAAAATCTACCGGCTGGGCGCCATGGCTCACACCTGTAATCCCAGCATTTTGGGAGGCTGAGGTGGGCGGATCACTTGAGATCAGGAGTTCGAGACCAGCCTGGCCAACATGGTGAAATTCTGTCTCTACTAAAAATACAAAAATTAGCCAGACGTTGTGGTGCACACCTGTAATTCCAGCTACTCAATAGGTTGAGGCAGGAGAATTGTTTGAACCTGGGAGGTGGAGGTTGCAGCGAGCCGAGATCGCGCCACTGCACTCCAGCCTGGGTGACAGAGTGAGACTCCATCTCAAAAAGAGAGAATCCACCAAGAAGAGGCCCGGGGGTCTCACGTTCATTGTCATCATTTACTGGGCACCTGCCGTGTGCTGGACACCGTGCTAACAGCCAGAAACAAAGGAAAAAGACCAACTGTGTTTTCTCTCAAAGAGCTTTCATGCGGGTAGAAAGACAAGCGTCAAGAGGCAAACAATGGCGCCTTCTCCATGACTCAGTCCAGAGGCCCCAATGGGAAAGAAATAATAGTTTCCAAAATGTGATAGGTTGAAGGACATTTTAGCCTTAGAAACCAGCCACGTGAACTGTGAAGTGTAAATCCAGTTCTATTTGTTCTGTGGCAACCACGTTTGGTCGTCAGAAGCAGACGCTAAGTCAAGCGAGGGGCTTTGGGGGAGGAATTGTTGCCCATCTGACTTGGGTCCAAAGAGGTGAGAAGTGGCAGGAGGGGGTGCATTTGTGAGTTTTGGTTGACCCTAAAGCTGAGACAGGGCCTGCAGCCCCAGCCCTGGATAAGCCCTTTCCCCCCCATCCCCGACCTCAGGCCTCCAAGGGCTGCAGTTCTACAGGCTACACCGGGAAGAAAGGCCCAACTACCGTCTCGAGTGCCTGCAGTGGCTGAAGAGCCAGCCTCGGTGGCCCAGCTGGGGCTGGAACCAGGTCTCCTGCCCTTGTTCCTGGCAGCAGGGACGACGGGACTTACGATTCCAACCCGTCAGCATAGGTGACACCTCCTTCCCGCCCCCCACAAGCCCACCCACCACCCTCTCTGCTCACGCCCTCAGCCTCTCCCCAGAAACAGCCCCTGCTTGTTCCCACCCCGCCCCTGGCAGCCCCAGCCTGGGCCTGAGTGGGACTGGACTTGTTTCAGGTCGCTGGGGCCTCGGCAGTAGGCAGCTGTGCAGCTTCACCTCTTGGCGAGGAGGCGTGTGCTGCAGCTACGGGCCCTGGGGAGAGTTTCGTGAAGGCTGGCACGTGCAGCGTCCTTGGCAGTTGGGTGCGTGAGTCCGTGATCTCAACCCCACCTTCCCGGCCAAGTAGGGGACCCTCAGCATGAAGCCTCTCGTCCTCATTCCTTCCCAGACCCTTCCCCTCTCTGGGCCTCCACTTCCTGATCGGGTAACGTTAGGAAGCTTCCAACATCCCCACCAGCGGACATTCGGGGATGTATGAGCTGAGAGCCTCTTTCCTCATCTCTATACCTGGCTCCACATCCCCAGGCCAGAGTGGGGCCATTTCTCCAGGCAAGAAGAGAGCGCCTAGGCTGACCCCGTCCCTGTAGACCCAGATGAGCAGGATGTTTGGGGGAAGACTGAGAGTCAGCTCCCACAGAGACGCTCCAAGGGAGCTGGAGAGCGCAGGGGTGTGGGGTCACGTGGTCTGTGTCCTCCCGTTCTCTCCCCCGTCCCATGGCAGTTTCCACAGTTCCCAGACCGTCAGCCGTGCCCTCCCCACTCCCAGCACGTTGAGAGCAGCAGTACTTGGCTCTCCACCCTCAAGACAGGAAATTTGCTTAGCTCCTACCATGCGCCCTGCTGCACAGTGGCCCCAATGCCTGCAAAAGAGACAGCACCCTATTCACTGCCCAAGGTCATGAGAAGGGCCATGCTGGATTCCAAAGCCATGCTCTTGCCACCAACACCGCCCTGCCCTACCAAGCTCTCCACCAACACCGCCCTGCCCTGCCAAGCTCTCCACCAACACCGCCCTGCCCTGCCAAGCTCTCCACCAACACCGCCCTGCCCTGCCAAGCTCTCAACCAACACCACCCTGCCCTGCCAAGCTTCTCCAGGTCCTCAACCTCCCCGACTCACTGCTGTTCTCCGCAGCCCAGGAACTGGAGCCACAGAGCTGGTGCTGCCGCTGGAATGACAAGCCCTACCTCTGTGCCCTGTACCAGCAGAGGCGGCCCCACGTGGGCTGTGCTACATACAGGCCCCCACAGCCCGGTGAGCGACAGGGCCCAGGCCCAGGAAGAGCCTCTGGGGAGGGGGAGCTTCTGGGCTTCCGGGAGGTGGCATCTGGATAAGGAGTAGGGGCAGAGCTGTGGCCACAAGGGAAGATGGAGATGACGCCAGTGATGGGTGGATGGTCAGTGGAGGGGCTTTGTACCTGAGTTGGGGAAGGAGTGAGAATAGCGGGGCACGAAAATGCAAGGAGGCTTGAGGGGAGGATTCTGTGCTCTGTGAACATCTCCCCAGCTGAGTCCGCCCGGACAAGTGCCCCAGTCGACTGCAGTGAGGAACCTCACCCTGAGTCCTCCTGGACAAGTGCCGCACCTGACTGCAGTGAGGAACCTCAGCCCTACACATGATTTGTCATGCTGAGGCAGCATCTCTTTTTTCCTTCCAGCCTGGATGTTCGGGGACCCCCACATCACCACCTTGGATGGTGTCAGTTACACCTTCAATGGGCTGGGGGACTTCCTGCTGGTCGGGGCCCAAGACGGGAACTCCTCCTTCCTGCTTCAGGGCCGCACCGCCCAGACTGGCTCAGCCCAGGCCACCAACTTCATCGCCTTTGCGGCTCAGTACCGCTCCAGCAGCCTGGGCCCCGTCACGGTGAGTGAGGGGTGCCGGGAACCTCCCTGCATTCCACCCACAGGGACCTTCAGCCACATACTGAGGCCGAGGAGAAGGAAGAGAGCGAAGGAGGGGAAGCCGGGCAGGAGGGAGGGAGGACACAGCCCATCCACGCAGCTGTCCCGGAGTAAATCCTGGGGATGGTGGATTAGGGCTCTGGCCCCACGGTTTCCCAGCTGCTTGGCTTCGAAGAAACTACTTAATTTGGTTTTCTCCTAGTAAGAATGGGGATGACATTACCTGCCTCACGGGCTGTTGTAAGAGCTAAAGGGCATAATCCGAAAACCATGCCTGGCCCTGCCGAGCACACGGTAGACGGCGGCTGGCATCACCTCAGGCCGCGGCCTCCAGCGCCTTCCTCCCGGCCCAGGGCGCAGCTTCCAGCCCCAGGGGCTCTCCCAGCTGCTTTCCTGGGCGTCGGCTCCACCTGCGGGTCGGGCTCAGGCCCCCTCCCATCTCCTTCCAGGTCCAATGGCTCCTTGAGCCTCACGACGCAATCCGTGTCCTGCTGGATAACCAGACTGTGACATTTCAGCCTGACCATGAAGACGGCGGAGGTAGGTTGGGGAGCGCCGGCCGCCCCCTCCCCGCACCGGGAGCAGCGAGGTGGGCGGGAAGCCGCGTTGCGGTGCAGGGCCGGGCGCGTGGCGGTGCAGGGCCGGGTGCGTTGTGGTGCAGGGCCGGGCGCGTGGCGGTGCCGCGCCGAGTGCTTTGCGGTGCAGGGCCGGGTGCGTTGTGGTGCAGGGCCCGGTGCGTGGCGGTGCAGGGCCCGGTGCGTGGCGGTGCAGGGCCGGGTGCGTGGCGGTGCAGGGCCGGGTGCGTGGCGGTGCAGGGCCCGGTGCGTTGCGGTGCAGGGCCGGGTGCGTTGCGGTGCAGGGCCCGGTGCGTGGCGGTGCAGGGCCGAGTGCGTTGTGGTGCCGGGCCCGGTGCGTGGCGGTGCAGGGCCCGGTGCGTGGCGGTGCAGGGCCAAGAGAGCGCAGCCTCTACCCCCGAGCGGGGCGTGCAGCTCGCCGGCCTCTTCTCCGCCTCCAGTGCAGACCCCTCCCGGCTTCAGCCCCAGGGGCGGGGTGGGGGTGGTGCGGGCCCGGCAGGGCGCGGGTTTGGTGCGGGCCGTGGTGCCGACCTGGCTTCCTCTCCGCTGCCTCCCGATGCTCCAGGCCAGGAGACGTTCAACGCCACCGGAGTCCTCCTGAGCCGCAACGGCTCTGAGGTCTCGGCCAGCTTCGACGGCTGGGCCACCGTCTCGGTGATCGCGCTCTCCAACATCCTCCACGCCTCCGCCAGCCTCCCGCCCGAGTACCAGAACCGCACGGAGGGGCTCCTGGGTGAGGGCGGCTCGGACCTGCCTCTGAGGCTCCGCGGAGCCAGCCGGAGCTCGGACCCCCACGCCGGCGGCCCGGGCAGCCCTGCTCGGCCTCCCTTTCTCCGCCTCCTTGGAGCAGAACCCTTGGGGCACAGAGCGGGCCGGGAGCCGAGGGGCTTCTCCAGCCTCCCCCGAGGCTCCCTTCCTGTCCTCCGCCCGCTCTAAGGGAGCATCAGGGGGGGCTGCGGGGAGGCGGGGGGCACAGCCATCCTTTCTCCCTTTCCTCTTGCCTCCCACATCCTCCCGCCCTCCTCCACCGCTGCCCGCGTTTCCTCCCGCCCCTCCCGAAGGCAGACGGGCAGGGTGTGAGGGCCCGTCCTCCCGGCTCCCCTGGAGGCCTGACAGCAGGTGCAAGAGCAGAGGCTGCCAGGCCCTGGCCTCTCCCCACTGCGTCCGCCGGATGCTCCCCAGGAAGGGGACAGCCGCGTGCCCAGGGTGGCCAACCTCCCACTCTGTCCCTCAGGGGTCTGGAATAACAATCCAGAGGACGACTTCAGGATGCCCAATGGCTCCACCATTCCCCCAGGGAGCCCTGAGGAGATGCTTTTCCACTTTGGAATGACCTGTGAGTCTGGGCAGGGTCCTGGGGCAGAGGGGCAGGTGAGGGGAGCCGGTATGTTTATGTCGTCCCCCTCGGCCCTGTAGGAAGCAGACCTCCATCCTCCCTAAGGTCTGAGGAATCTGTGCCCCCCCAGGGCTGTCCCCACCACCACCAGCCCACCTGCCTCTCTCTACCTGGAGGAGAGAATGGGGGACGTGGAGTGTCCTCTCTCACTGCAGCAGGTGTTTCTAGACTCAGAAGCTGGAAACCGCTCTGGCCCTGCACTCCCACCGCCCCGCTCCAAGCCATCTAAAGTGAGGGGTAGAGGTGGACACAGATGGAATAAGGCTGAGTGCCATGCCTGGTACCACCGCGCTCTGTGTGTTACAGGGCAGATCAACGGGACAGGCCTCCTTGGCAAGAGGAATGACCAGCTGCCTTCCAACTTCACCCCTGTTTTCTACTCACAACTGCAAAAAAACAGCTCCTGGGCTGAACATTTGATCTCCAACTGTGACGGAGATAGCTCATGCATCTATGACACCCTGGCCCTGCGCAACGCAAGCATCGGACTTCACACGAGGGAAGTCAGTAAAAACTACGAGCAGGCGAACGCCACCCTCAGTAAGTGGCCCGAGGCCTGGGGAGGCCTTTTCAGAGTCGGGAGCAGATGAGGAGCTGCCCTTGCCTGACCCTGCTTTTCCCTGTGCATCTGCATTCACTGAGCAGATTCTTCCACTCCTGGCATTCCTCTGCTCAAACCCTTCAGAGACTTCCCTGGCTCTCTCCATCCTTGCAGTGGCCTTCGGCCCAGTTCAGCTTCTCAGAGCTCTTCTCCTAGTGCTGGACGCCTTCCCAGCCCCCTCCGTCCATCCTAGCGCTGGATGCCTTCCCAGCCCCCTTCACTCCATACTAGCGCTGGACGCCTTCCCAGCCCCCTCCACTCCATCCTAGCGCTGGACCCCTTCCCAGCCCCCTCCATCCATCCTAGCGCTGGATGCCTTCCCAGCCCCCTCCACTCCATCCTAGCGCTGGACCCCTTCCCAGCTCCCTGCACTCCAGCCCCGCAGGCTCCTCTGTGTTCTTCAAACACGCTAGGTGCGCTCAGCTCCCAGGCTTCACACGTGCTGTTCTCTTGCCTGGAATACCCTTCCTTCCCTGGACAGCCACACGCTTGCCCCTCACCTTCTTTACGTCTTCATTCCAATGTCCCCTCCTTGGTGAGGCCTCTCTTGGCCGCCCTGTCTAAAATGTCACATTCACCCACACTTCATGTTTGCCTTCCCTGCTTTATTTTTTTCTCCTTAGCATTTATAATTACTCAACATATTTTATAATTTTCACAGGTATCTTTTTAATTATTCATTCATGACTGTATCCTCACCACCCAGAACAGTGCCAGCCACTTAGCTCAATAAATGTTTGTTAAATGACTGACTGAATGAATGTGTGAAGCAACTATGAAATGGAAATGGCAGGGCTCCGAGAAACAGACCCGTGAAGAGGTTTCACTCCCTCTCTATTTCTGGACAAATGCAATGTCCCTTTAGATGTGACCCTCCAGGTTTTGTGCGTGTGTGTGTGTGTGTTGACGGAGTTTCGCTCTTGTTGCCCAGGCTGGAGTGCAGTGACGTGATCTCGGCTCGTCGCAACCTCTGCTTCCCGGGTTCAAGCGATTCTTCTGTTTCAGCCTCCTGAATAGCTGAGATTACAGGCACCCGCCACCATGCCTGACTAATTTTGTATTTTTAGTAGAGACAGGGTTTCACCATGTTGGTCAGGCTGGTCGCGAACTCCTGACCTCAGGTTATCCACCGGCCTCGGCCTCCCAAAGTGCTGGGATTACAGACATGAGACACCCAGCACCCTTCAGGTTTTCAGCCCTTTGCCAAAGGTACAACCCTTTGGTCTAAGGGTACAACCCTTTGTAATGGTCCAAACAAATCTGCTCTCTAATTCACTTTTTGTCATACCCAGCATAGCACTGTGTTCAGGAAAGAATCTGAAAGGAGCTCTTTTTGAGGAGGTGGGGGGAGAGAAAGAGGCTAAAGATTTGGCTAGGTGGGCAGTACAGTCCCAGCCTGCTGTGCGTCAGTCGAGAGCAGGTACACAGAATAATTCCTTCTTCCAGAGGTGGGTCACAGTCCTGGGAATGCCTCACACATATTAGAGTTGAGAAAGAGAGGAGGCTGATAAAGCAGGAGACTGTCCTGCCTCGGAACCCCCATTCCCTCTTTGTGTTTCAGATCAGTACCCGCCCTCCATCAATGGTGGTCGTGTGATTGAAGCCTACAAGGGGCAGACCACGCTGATTCAGTACACCAGCAATGCTGAGGATGCCAACTTCACGCTCAGAGACAGCTGCACCGACTTGGAGCTCTTTGGTAGGACTATTTGGCTGGCTGGGGAGAGTGGGGAGGTGGGTAGGGGATGAGGTCAGAGTCAAATTTGGGAAATTCTGCATTGCTACACCCAGCAACACTTGCTGTCACTCTTTCATTTGAATATCCAGGACCGGCATTTCCGAGGAGCGATATCTATAACTCAAATAGGTGCCCCCCAGTAAGTAGTAGTGACGGGCTTACGGCGGTTTGGCCAGATAGCTAGAGTGACTCTGGGCACATAGAACTGATTCAAGGCTGGGCGCGGTGGCTCATGCCTGTCATCCCAGCGCTTTGGGAGGCCGAGGTGGGCGGATCATCTGAGGTCAGGAGTTCGAGACCAGTCTGGCCAACATGGTGAAACCCCGTCTGTACTAAAAATACAAAAAAAAAAAAAAAAGCCAGGCATGGTGGTGCATGCCTGTAATCCCAGCTACTCAGGAGACTGAGGCAGGAGAATCGCTTGAACCCAGGAGGCAGATGTTGCAGTGAGCTGAGATCGCGTCACTGCACTCCAGCCTGGTGACAGAGCGAGACTCTGTCTCAAAAAAAAGATTTGAAGATCATTTAATCTCAATCTGATCATATATAGTCATCTTTAGTCATTATGCATTCACCAAATTATTAGAATAATCAAGTGCAACATTTAAAATGACCAATTTACAACATTTTTATATCTATTAAAGGAAGGCTCTAATGTAGGACAAGATTTAAAGAAATATGAAAAATACTTTCGTTTGGTACCTTTCTTGCTCTTTTTGTCTGGCAACCATGTTTACCTAGCCGTGTCTCTCCTTGTCTGGTTTCCTGGGCTAGGACCCAGTAGAGTGCCATCGCTCCCTCTCCGTAAAGGTGTTAGAGACCCCGAGCCCTACATCCATGATCAGGGCCAAAGGCTCCAAGCACAAGGGACGCTGCTTTCGTCTGTTGCCAGCACTAATTCAAAGGGTCCAAGGGCATCAAAGGGATGCCACTTTCTGTCTGTTGCCAGCACTAATTCTGAGGGTGACTGTTCTTGGCTAAACCAAAGCCCCGGGGGGCATATTTTGCGTTCTCTTTGCCTCTCTGCCTGATGTTCTTTCTCTCTGTGTCTCAGAAGGGACTGCTTTGCCTGCATCCCTTTTGCCCCATGTGCGTCCTCCCAGGTGCGAGACAATGGCACTGAGAGGTTTTCTTCTCCACGGGCCCCACCCCTGAAGGACGATGGTCTGGAAATTACGTTCGTCTATTCTCTGTCACTTCCTTTCAATCTGCTGTTTTAAGGAGACTTTCCTATTTTCTTGAAAAATATCAGTTTGATCTGAAGATATGTAGTAGTGTTTCACTACAGTCTGGTGTCTGAAGGGGGTGTCTGGGAAAGGTCCAGGAAGTGGGGGGTGGGTGAGAAATCAGGGCAAAGGATGGGGCTGCCGTGAGAGTGAAGCCAGTTTGGCCGGCAGCGCAGCCTGGGGAGGTGTCTGGAGGATCCTGGCCTTGATCCTCCATCCCCCAGGATGTCCCATCCTGGTGTGAGCCCAGCCAGGGCTGCCCTTTGGGGTTTCTTCAGGAGGAAACTGCTTTCCCCTCTGTGGCGTTCCCCGCTACAATCAGTATGTTGGACTGGTGCCACGTCCTTCCAGCTGGGAGCGTGACCAGGATCACCCCCGATACCAGCCTTGCTCAAAGGAAATGACCAATGAGATTTGTCTGGGGAGGGGGAGGGTGGCCTGAGAGGGGTGGGGGAAGCCCCGTATCAGCAATCAGACCACAGAGCCGAGGAGTCTCCCAGCTCTCAACATTCTCATCTTCCCCGGGGCAGAGAATGGGACGTTGCTGTGGACACCCAAGTCGCTGGAGCCATTCACTCTGGAGATTCTAGCAAGAAGTGCCAAGATTGGCTTGGCATCTGCACTCCAGCCCAGGACTGTGGTCTGCCATTGCAATGCAGAGAGCCAGTGTTTGTACAATCAGACCAGCAGGGTGGGCAACTCCTCCCTGGAGGTGAGTGTTGGGAGGTGGGGGAGGAGTTTCTGTGCCGAGGGGAGAGGAAATGGGAGTGGAATGGATGCTGTGATTCTGCCTGTCCTGGGTGTGTCTGTGTTGGGAGATGGGTGGAGCAGTGGTAGGTGAGTAGAGCAGATTCCAGTCTCAGGCCACAAACTCACATGGGAAGAAAGAGAACTTTCTGGCCGGGTGCAGTGGCTCACGCCTTTAATCTCAGCACTTTTGGAGGCTGAGGCAAGCGGATCACAAGGTCAGGAGATCGAGACCATCCTGACCAACATGGTGAAACCCCATCTCTACTAAAAATACAAAAATTAGCTGGGCGTGGTGGCAGGCGCCTGTAGTCCCAGCTACTCGGGAGGCTGCGGCAGGAAAATCGCTTGCACCCGGGAGGTGGAGGTTACAGTGAGCCAAGATTGCGCCATTGTACTCCAGCCTGGGCAACAGAGTGAGACTCTATGTCAAAAAGAAAGAAAAGAAAAGAAAAGAAAAGAAAAGAAAGAAAGAAGGAGGGAAAGAAAGGAAAGGAAAGAAAGGAAAGGAAAGAAAGGGAAAGGAGAAAAAGAAAGAAAGAAAGAAACTATATTGGAGAAAAAGAAGGACGAAAGAAAGAAAAAGGAAGGAAGGAAGGAAAGAGGAAAGAACCTTACTTTATTGCTTATAGTTCAACTGGATTTTTATCTCCCACCTCCCCTTCTGCCAGGTTGGCAGGAAACTTCCACCTCCGTCTTTCTCACAGCGCCCCACAGCTCTGCGGCGAAGCCCAGCAGAGGGCCCTGCGGTGTGGGGTGGAAGGTGGTTGTGGGTCCCTGGGCGTGAGTCCACACAGGTTTCCATCACAGCTCCGCCCCACTTCCCCTTCAGACCCAGGGAGAGGCTCTGCTGCTTCTGTGCCTTGCTCAGACACAGGACACCTTTTCTGAGGCCGCTTACAGTCCTGTCTGCCTAGAAGCACCCCACAGTCATTTCTCCCTAGGATGTCATCATCACGGTGCTGGGAAGAGAGCTGCGGGTCCCTCTATCTTGACACCTCCAAGCCCCTTTGCTTTCTCTTTTACTATCTCCTTCCAGCTAAAAGAAACATCTTTTCCAGTTTGGAGAAACTACTTCTCCATGTTTCTAGCCAAGATACTTGGCCTAATTCCACGACTCTTGTCCTATCTGCTTTTTTATTTTTATTTTTGGTTGTAAAGGAAGAGCCAGAAAGGAAAGTGTTTATCTGGCAACACAAAACTACCTCCTTCACCACTTACACACACACGCATGCACACGCACACACAGACACACACACACATCCTTCTGAAGCATGAGCAGAGAATGGGTACTCGAAAGGGATAGAGGTAGGGACGGTTGGTGGGGTAGGGGGTAGAAAAGCATAAAATACACAATGGGAAAAAGAGATTGAAATCAATATACTATTCCACAGATCCCCAAATATCCACTCTTGGGAGTAGCAAGTGTTAGAGGATTCCATTTTAGGGAGATTCCCCGAGTCGCTTCAGTAAGGGAGTTAGAAAGGGGAGCGCAGGGAGCTTGGTGAGGTCTCGGCGCCGCAGCCTTTGCTGAGCTGCTGTACTGGCTGCTGTGTTTTCTCACAGTGCTCAGCAGGGAGGCTCTGTCTTCTTGGTTTGGGAGTCAGCAAGGGAGGTCAATTTCAGCTTATATGAAATCCAGTTTGCAGGCCACATAGGAGCCTGAGGCAGGCGGATTGCTTGAGCTCAGGACTTTGAGACCAGCCTGGGCAATATGGCAAGACCCTGTCTCTACTAAAAATCAAAAAATTAGCTGGGCGTGGTGGCATATGCCTGTAATCTCAAGTATTTGGGAGGCTGAGGCACAAGAATTGCTTTAACTTGGGAGGGGGACATTGCAGTGAGCCGAGATCGAGACACTGCACTGCAGCGTGGGAAACAGAACGAGACTGTCTCATTAAAAAAAAAAGCAGAAGAAAAATACAAAAATTAGTGGGCGTGGTGGTGCATGCCTGTAGCCCCAGCTCCTCGGGAGGCTGAGGTGGGAGGATGGCTTGAACCTGGGAGGTGGAGTTTGCAGTGAGCCAAGATCAAGACATTGCACTCCAGCCTGGGCAACCGAGTGGGACCCTGTCTCAAAATAAATAAGGAATCCAGTTTTCAAGCAATAGGACATACATGGATACATACACACATGGATACATACACACATGGATACACACATATGGATACATACATGGATACATGCATACATGCATGACACACACATACATACATGGATACATACATGGATACATACATTGATACATATCTACATGGATACATACATGATACATACACACATGGATACACACATGGATACATACATGCATACATGCATGGATACACACATACATACATGGATACATACATACATGGATACATACATCTATACATGGATACATTCATTCATTCATTCATGCTTCAATCATTCATGCATCCCCCATCTTACTCTAGAAAGGATTTCAGGCAAAGAGCTAGAGTGTGAGAGGGAAGAGGCTGAGATCCTGGTGCAGGGCCAGGCAGGGGGTCAGGGTAAACAATGACCCAGGGAGGCCAGCTGGGCAGGACTACCGTGTGGCTTTAGGCAGGGCCTTGCCGCCCCACGGCCTGGTCAAGAAGGTGCTCAGCAGGTGCTGGTGGGGCTGAGACATGACTCAGGGTCCACGGGTTCTCAGGCCAAAGGGGTCAGTCAGAAACACCCAGAAGCCCTTCCCAGTTTGGTCTCCTGGCCGCCCGTGATCGGCAACCCTCCTCCAGGTGGCTGGCTGCAAGTGTGACGGGGGCACCTTCGGCCGCTACTGCGAGGGCTCCGAGGATGCCTGTGAGGAGCCGTGCTTCCCGAGTGTCCACTGCGTTCCTGGGAAGGGCTGCGAGGCCTGCCCTCCAAACCTGACTGGGGATGGGCGGCACTGTGCGGGTGAGCCGGGAACAGGGCCTGGAGCAGGCGCTTCTGGGAGCAGCTGATAGCTCAAGGGTGTAGACAGCCAAAGGCAAACCATTTCTCTCCTTTTTCCAGCAGATCTTTAGAATGCTCAATCTAGGCAGGTGTGGGAAATCTAGGCAGGTGTGGGAAATCATCTAGGCAGGTATGGGAAATCTAGGCAGGCCTGGAAAGGGGGTGGTGGATGGTGTGGGGCTGAAGGAGAAGAGGTTGTACAGGCATAGGGGAGGGGACGGGGCTGGGCATCCCTGAGGCATTGATGGGGGGAGCCCCGGGCGAAAGACTGAAGATGGTTTGGGGAGGAGACTTCAGCAGCCGCCAGAGAACCGGGCAAGCTGGGTCCTCGGGATCCCTGGGGATCTTCAGAGACACGAGGCTCAGGATCTCTGCATCTCACGAGTCAGGACGTTTGGAGGGGCTGGCGTGGGGATCCGGCAGCAAAGGTGCCTGATTTTCCCTTTGAGTCCTCCCAGCCATCTGTTCCTCCCGCTCTGAGTCACCAGAGTCTGATGAGGGAGATCACAGCGAGGCCTTTACCAAGCCCCCTAAGGCACCCAAATAAAATCTACAGATCACTGTGCCTTCAGAGCCGAGGCCAGAGTGGGTAGAACCGCAGCTTTTATAAAGGCAGAAAAGGAGATGGACGTGAGAGGGGAGGGCGTGAGGAAAGCCAGCTGGGGGCCCCTCCTCTGCCAGCCTTCGGGGTCCTTTCTGAAGCAGAGGGTCTGAGAAACACTCCAGTCCCTCCACAAAAGTGGAAGAATACCTGTCTGGCCGGGGAAAGGGGTTGCCCTGCAGAGAAACGCCTGGAAAAGGGGGGAAGGATGGTTTGGGGTTCCGAGTGGCCCGAAGTGGAACACTGGGGGAAAGCAAGCCTGTCCCGGAGCGGGTTTCCACGGGCTGGGCCGTCCCTCTGCTGCCCTGCGCGCTGCTGCTGACCTCCCTACTCACTCTGCAGCTCTGGGGAGCTCTTTCCTGTGTCAGAACCAGTCCTGCCCTGTGAATTACTGCTACAATCAAGGCCACTGCTACATCTCCCAGACTCTGGGCTGTCAGCCCATGTGCACCTGCCCCCCAGCCTTCACTGACAGCCGCTGCTTCCTGGCTGGGAACAACTTCAGTCCAACTGTCAACCTAGGTACCGCCAGAGACCCCGCCCTCTCACCCCCGCACTCTTCCTGGGCCCCACCCTCTCACCCCCGCACTCCGCCCACCTTTGGGGAAGATGAGGAAGCTCTGGGGTCACAGGACAGAGCTCCAGATTTCTCTGGGATGGTGTAAGGTGCGGGCTATGGGAGCTGGCGAGGCAAGCTGTCACGGCAAGGACCACGGGCCTGTGTGGCCTATGGAGGAAGGACGGAGGCAGAGACCTCACAGCTGGCTCAGTGAGATGAGCGCTGGGGAGGCCCGGAGCATAGTGGAGTGAGCCCTAGCGTGAGGGCCACTTCTCCCGGTTTCTTCAGCAACCTTCTGTCACTGTGGAATGTAGGGTGAGGGCCACTTCTCCCGGTTTGCTCAGCGACCTTCTGTCACTGTGGAATGTAGGGTGAGGGCCACTTCTCCCGGTTTCTTCAGCGACCTTCTGTCACTGTGGAATGTAGGGTGAGGGCCACTTCTCCCGGTTTCTTCAGTGACCTTCTGTCACTGGAATGGAGCAGTCAACTTGGGCTGGCCCGACAGACTTTTTGGGTAAGTCTGGGTAAACCGTGGGGTGATGATACATTTGCTTCTCCCATCTCCAGAACTTCCCTTAAGAGTCATCCAGCTCTTGCTCAGTGAAGAGGAAAATGCCTCCATGGCAGAAGTCAACGCCTCGGTCAGTGCTGCAGGCCGCGCTCTGGGTGGGAGGGGGCGCTTGGCGGGTTCAGGCCAGGGCGGAACCATCGCTGTGCGGCCTTCATCTTGTCATCCATCTGGATTCAACTGCCAGAGGAGGCCGGAGCCTCTTGCCCCATGGGAGGTGCAGGGCATTAGGAAGTGAGGAAGGCCCAAGACAGAAACCTCGACTCATCATAAGCAGAGGCCAGGGTGCCAAGTCACCCCAGCCGAGACCTCTAAGCATCTTGGTTATGATCTGAAAGAAACTAAAGGACATTTCACCTCCCGGGAGTCTTCCCTGACTTCCCAGAGGGAACGGGCGGCTCCCTCTTCTTGGCTGCCATGCCATACCTCAGTCACAGGCAAAGTGGCACAACTGCTGAGTGGTTGGGGCTGTAGAATCCTGCACACCCAGAATCAGAATCCCTGCTCTGCCCCTCACTAGAGCAGGTGTGCTAACTAGACACATCATATAACAGGTCATCTGTAAACACAGGGACAATCATAGCACCTGAGTCAACAGGCCGTATCACCGTTTAAATGATAACGCGTGTCAAGCATTTAGTCCAGTGCCTGACACACAAGTATTCAAACATGATGACTGCTATTATCACTACTGCAAGCCTAGCACTCCCCACTCCACACTCCACACGGTAAAATCTGTTGACATTTGTCACCTGCGCCAGACAATGCACTCTTTGAGTTTAGACTCCACCTAAGTCACCTTGACACCCCCAGCCCCGACCATCTCCTAGGTCTAAACAACCCATGTTCAATATACTGGGGAGGAGGTCATGAGTCATGTGTCAGAGGCAAGGTAGGGGCCATTCATGTCAGATTCTCTGCTCGTCATATGAGGCTGAGGGGGGGACAGAATGGAAAACCCTTCACTCTCAACAAACATTATTAAGCAAGGACCCATGACACTCACTGAGCTAGGCTAGAGTGCAAGGGTGCAGAGACAGGTGAGGAAGGTGCTGGGGTCCTGGGGCTCCCGTTCCAGGAGGAAACAGGGATGAATACACCCATCAAGGTGGGAGGGCGTCTCCCCCCCGGATGGGGCCTCACCCCCACCCCCATCTGCCATCCTCTAACCTAGGTGGCATACAGACTGGGGACCCTGGACATGCGGGCCTTTCTCCGCAACAGCCAAGTGGAACGAATGTAAGTGGGACTGTGTCCCCCTAAGCCCCCAGATCTCTTCCTCATCCCCCACCCCCAGCCCCCCACCCCCCCTCACCGTTGCCCTCCCACACAGCGATTCTGCAGCACCGGCCTCGGGAAGCCCCATCCAACACTGGATGGTCATCTCGGAGTTCCAGTACCGCCCTCGGGGCCCGGTCATTGACTTCCTGAACAACCAGCTGCTGGCCGCGGTGGTGGAGGCGTTCTTATACCACGTTCCACGGAGGAGTGAGGAGCCCAGGAACGACGTGGTCTTCCAGCCCATCTCCGGGGAAGACGTGCGCGATGTGACAGCCCGTGAGTCCGTCCATTCCGGGGACACTATGGGGGTCACTGCGGGGGGCGGGCAAACAGAGGTGCTTCAGCCCACACAAACAAGCTAATTGAGTTTTTCTGTTTGTTTGGTTTTGAGCGAAAACGTGAACATTTTGTCCAGCTGCTTTTTAGATTCGAGAGCAGGAGCAGCCAGCACTGCTGAGGCAGTCACACGTATACAGCTTCACGGAGCAAGCACCCAGCCAGGGCCTTGCTGACTGTGGCTGCTAATAAAACAGCAGCAATTTAGTTTCATAAAATTGCTAATAGTTTTCTTAAAATGCCATTGCACTTAAGCATACACAGGGACACCCCCATCGTCTCTGCTCTCCAGCGGGAGGATATGAAGCTGGAGACTGGAGACTGGCCAGGGACAGAGGCAACTACTCCCTGAAATGGTGTCACCCTGTGCAAGCACCTTCCCCAGGCCAGGCCAGGCCTCAACACCCCCCAGCACCTTCCCCAGGCCAGGCCAGGCCTCAACACCCCCCAGCACCTTCCCCAGGCCAGGCCTCAACACCCCCCAGCACCTCCCCGAGGCCAGGCCTCAACACTCCCCAAGCACCTTCCCCAGGCCAGGCCTCAGCACCCCCATCTGAAAATGAGATGGGATTTCTGAGCCCCCTTTCAGTGCTGACAGCCCCCGGTTTTCCTGGAACAGGAATAAGTTGGCAAGCTTGTCAGAGAAACAAAGGAATAACACGTCCTATTTTCTGTATAGGGCAGAGAACAGGGCAGGGGCCGCCCCAAACACAACAGGAACTGCTGTTTTACTTGGGTCTGGGACCAAGCAAGAGCTTCTCCCAGAATCCAGGCTAAGCCCGCTCTCTCCCGGAGCAGGGGGTGAAATCCCTCAGAACTACTGTATGTTGGGGAGTTGGGGTAGGAGGCGCAGGGAGGCAAGCCCTGACTATGCAATTAAGGAAAACCTATAATTTTTATTATACAAGCATCGTATGTTTATTGCAGAAACTTTAGGAAACACAAACTTAACAAAAAGAAAAGAGGAAAAAAACCCTGTAATCCCAATCCCCAGAGAGACAACAGTATTTCCTACATATCCTTCTGAACTTTCTTTTATGCCTAGGAACCTTCAGACATCCATTTTTTACTGAAGGATCAAATCATTCCTAATGTTGGAAAACCTCCTCATTAAACAGTTGTGAACAGGTTGTCTCATATATTCTGTCCACATTCCCATTTGACATATTATGATGGTATGTTTGAATATAGTGTCATATTTTAAAATACATTATAATAATCATTACCATTGTTTGAGTGCTTACTGTGTGTCCGGCACTGTACTGAGTACTGTGGACACATTATCTCATTTAAATCTCACAGCAGCATAAGTGCTATTATGATCATTTCCTTTTAAAGATAAGGAAACTGAAGCTGAAAGAGTGAAGGAATGTTCCCTGAATTACACATCTAGTCACTAGCAGAGTTTCAGTTTCCACCCAAGTCTGGCCACCTTCAAAGCATGTGCTCTTCAGGAAAGCATTTTCCATAGGAACCTTTTTCCACAGGAACCTTTTTCCCTAGGAACCTTTTTCCCTAGGAAACTTTTTCCATAGGAAGCACCATCCCTTGGTAAGGATGTGCAGTAGTTTATTTAACCAGACCCTACTTCTGAAACGTTACTATTATCCACCATGCTGATCTGAACGTCCAGGGGCATATGTATCTGTGCACTTCTCCAATTATTTCTCAGGATAAACACCCGAAAAGGAATTCGTGGCTGAAAAGGTACTGATTTAGTGTTCATCGGTTGCTTTCTGTGTTAATCTGTGTCCTTCCCGACAGTGAACGTGAGCACGCTGAAGGCTTACTTCAGATGCGATGGCTACAAGGGCTACGACCTGGTCTACAGCCCCCAGAGCGGCTTCACCTGCGTGTCCCCGTGCAGTAGGGGCTACTGTGACCATGGAGGCCAGTGCCAGCACCTGCCCAGTGGGCCCCGCTGCAGGTGCATAGGGCTGTGGCCAGGAGGTGGAGGACAGTGCTGGGGAACCCAAGCTGGGCAAGACACTGCAAGGGGTCCAGGAATTAGGATGGCTCGAGAGATCAGAGACCAGGGAAGAGAGGACAGTGGAAAAGGAGAGTTGTGAGTGCCTGCTCTGTGTGGAGAATAAAGGCGCTATATTACAAACTCTGAAACCCAAAAGAGCCATAGGGGGGCTTAGAACTATTTCGAAGATGAGAAAACTGCAGCTTAGAGATGACAAGGAACCTGCCCCAGGACGCAGTAGGTTAAGCAGCAGGGCATGGTTTCCAAAGCCAAACATTTTTTATATTTTTATGTTTTGAGATGGAGTGTCATTTGTCGCCCAGGCTGGAGTGCAGTGGTGCGTTCTCGGCTCACTGCAACGTCCTTCTCCCGCGTTCAAGCGATTCTCCTGCCTCAGCCTCCCGAGTAGTTGGGACTACAGGCATGCACCACCACGCCCAGCTGATTTTTGCATTTTTAGTAGAGACGGGGTTTCGCCATGTTGGTCAGGCTGGTCTCGAACTCCTGACCTCAGGTGATCCGTCCACCTTGGCCTCCCAAAGTGCTGAGATTACAGGCGTGAGCCACCGCGCCAGGGCCCAAAGTCAAACCCTCCCACCTGATCTGGCTGCTGCTTCCCTGCTGTCTCCTTGTGGGAAAAGAACCTGCAGTCCTGTGTCTAGGCCAGTCCTGCCCCTCAGTCAAGCGAGGCGCCTTTGCCCCTGCCCTCATCAGCAGTCCCCGGGGCTCCGCTGGTTAACAGCGCAGGAAGCCGCGGCCCCACGCAGACCTGGGCTCCGGGCCCTCCGCCAGCTGCAGTTCCAGATCCCGCCGAAGGAGGGGGCGGGCGGAGCGCGGGTGGGGCGGGGCCCGGCTCTCCGGGTGGGCGGGGCGGGGCGGGGCCGGGCTGGGGCGGGGGTGTGACTGCGCATGCCCACCTGTGGCCGGCATCCCTGCCGCCCAGGTGCAGCTGACTGCACGTGCAGCTGAATTCACACCAGGTTTTTGTTTTTGTTTTTTGAGACGGAGTCTTGCTCTGTCCCCCAGGCTGGAGTGCAGTGTTGCAATCTCGGCTCACTGCAACCTCCACCTCCCAGGTTCAAGCGATTCTGCCTCAGCCTCCTGAGTAGCTGGGATTACAGGTGCGCACCACCACGCCTGGCTAATTTTGTATTTTTAGTAGAGATGGGGTTTCACCGTGTTGGCCAGTCTGGTCTCGAACCCCTGACCTCAAGTGATGCGCCCGCCTCAGCCTCTCAATGTGCTGGGATTACAGGCGTGAGCCCCCGCGCCGGCCCAGGCCCATGTTTTTAAAGCCCACACCTGCCTCCTTTGCCCAGTGGTCTCACTTCAGCACGGCCTCAGGGCTGACTCAGTCTCTCCGGAGAGTGGGGCGAGCCCAGCCTCTCCTACAGAACCTCTTCTTCCCCAGCAGAAGAGGAGGGGCTGGGAGGCTGAGCTCCCGCCTCTGACCGCCTGTCTGTCTCTCTTGGTCACCAGCTGTGTGTCCTTCTCCATCTACACGGCCTGGGGCGAGCACTGTGAGCACCTGAGCATGAAACTCGACGCGTTCTTCGGCATCTTCTTTGGGGCCCTGGGCGGCCTCTTGCTGCTGGGGGTCGGGACGTTCGTGGTCCTGCGCTTCTGGGGTTGCTCCGGGGCCAGGTTCTCCTATTTCCTGAACTCAGCTGAGGCCTTGCCTTGAAGGGGCAGCTGTGGCCTAGGCTACCTCAAGACTCACCTCATCCTTACCGCACATTTAAGGCGCCATTGCTTTTGGGAGACTGGAAAAGGGAAGGTGACTGAAGGCTGTCAGGATTCTTCAAGGAGAATGAATACTGGGAATCAAGACAAGACTATACCTTATCCATAGGCGCAGGTGCACAGGGGGAGGCCATAAAGATCAAACATGCATGGATGGGTCCTCACGCAGACACACCCACAGAAGGACACTAGCCTGTGCACGCGCGCGTGCACACACACACACACACACACGAGTTCATAATGTGGTGATGGCCCTAAGTTAAGCAAAATGCTTCTGCACACAAAACTCTCTGGTTTACTTCAAATTAACTCTATTTAAATAAAGTCTCTCTGACTTTTTGTGTCTCCAAAACCAGGAATTCCATTCTTGATTTTCTTCTGGTGGCCGAAGGGCTGGACACAGACTTCTCCCAACCATCAGAGGGCACAGAGTGTGGAGGTTAAGTGCTGGGCAGCAGTGGAGCATTAGGGGCAGCTGGATCCAGTCCTAATCAGCCCGGTTACCCATGCTGGAAACCCTCAGTTGCTCCACCCCAACCTTGCTTCATGCTCCACATCACCTTCTTCTTCCCCCACCCCAGCACAGGCCAAAGCTTCGCCCGCTAAGGAGGAGAGCGAAAGAGATACCCCAAGATGGAGTGCCCCAGACTCTCTCCCAGGACCCCTCCCTGCCTGCCTGTCCATCAGTTTCACAAAAGTCGTAAAAGGATCAATGCACAGTGTGTTTACCTGTCTGGTGGCTGTCCCCACCGCCTGCGTTTCATGGAAGAGCGATTAAACCATTTCAGCTCCCTTTCCAGGAACCAACTCAAGAAACATGCCACCACCCCACCCTTAGATCTGGAGGGCCCGACCCCTCATATACCCTCTCTGTCCTTTCCCGGACCCCAGATGGAGTCTTCTGAGGTTCTCCATCCCACAGCCCTTCACCTCTACCCTGCCTCCACTTGCCCCAGCAACCTGATCAGCTTCCACAGAATCCTCTCAGCAGGCGGGACTTTTACACCTATCTGGTGTAATAACTCCAACACAATTGGTCCACAATTCCTGTGTCTAGAAAATCTCAATTCCAACTTTATGCAGAAACTAGGTAGCTGCCTCTTAGTTCTAAATCCCAAATCCCTGAAGAGAGAATCTGACTGGTCCAATTTACATCAGTTGTTTATGCCTGGTCCAATAAAATGTAGTCATGGGGTCAGAAAGGAGGTCACATGGTGCAAAGCAGGTGTTCAAGCTCATTCTTGCGGGTGGGTAAGTGCTGTTGAAGGAAGCTCCCAAAGGAATATCTTTGGTTGGGCACGGTGGCTCACGCCTGTAATCCCAACATTTTGGGAGGCCAAGGCGGGCAGATCACTTGAGGCCAGGAGTTTGAGACCAGCCTGGCCAACATAGTGAAACCCTGTCTCTACTAAAATACAAAAATTCGCTGGGCATGGTGGCACACGCCTATAATCCCAGCTACTCAGGAGGCTGAGGCAGGAGAATCTCTTGAACCCAGGAGGCGGAGGTTGCAGTGAGCTGAGATTGTGCCACTGCACTCCAGCCTGGGCAACAGAGCAAGACTCTGTCTCAAAAAAAAAAAAAAAAAAAAAATATATATATATATATATATATAAAGAATATATATATAATCTTTGTATTAGGGTTCCCTAGAGGGTCAGGACTAATAGGATAGATGTATATATAAAGGGGAGTTTATGAAGGAGTATCGACTCACACGATCACAAAGTGAGGTCCACAATAGGCTGTCTGCAAGCTGAGAAGCAGGGAAGCTAGTCTGAATCCCAAGATCTCAAAAGTAGGGAAGCCGACAGTGTAACCTTAAGTCTGTGGCAGAAGGCCCAAGAGCCCCTGACAAACCACCAGTGTAAGTCCAAGAGTCCAAAAGCTGAAGAACTGGAAGTCCGATGTTTGAGGGCAGGAAGCATCCAGCACGGGAGAAAGATGAAGGCTGGAAGACTTAGCCAGTGTAATCCTTCCACATTCCTCTGCCTGCTTTATTCTGGCTATGCTGGCAGCTGATTAGATTGTGTCCACCCAGACTGAGAGTGAGCCTGCCTCTCCCAGTCCACTGATTCAAATATTAGTCTCCATTGCCAACACCCTCACAGAGAGACACCCAGGAACAATACGTTGCATCCTTCAGTCCAATCAAGTTGACACTCAATATTAACCTTCACAGTCTTTGATCTGAGCAGACTCCAAACTTACATGGAGAATGACTTCTCCCAATAGGTGAAGCCACTCTCCTACATACAAAGCTGTAGCTTTACCCTCATATGCCCCAAAGTGGAATGTAATGAAGTCTCCATACAAAACTGCAGTCACAGCATTCATTTATCAAGAAGCAAGCACACAGCACAGATGAGTTCGCTGGTGAATTTTAGCAGATATTTAAGGGGAAATAATACCTATTTTCTGCAATCTTTTCCAGAAGATAGAAGCAGGAGGAATACTTCCTAAGTCATTTGTCACTGTCACCCTAATGCCAAAACGGGACAAAGACATTACAAGACGACTATAGACCAATATATCTCACATAGATGCAAAAATTACCAACAAAATATTAGCAAATACAGTTCAACAATATGTAAAAAGAATTATAGGCCATGACCAACAGAGATTTATCCCAGGTATGCAAGACTGGTTCAATATTCAAAAATCAGCTAATGCAATCCGTTACATCAACAGGCTAGAGAAGAAAAATCACATGATCGGCCAGGCATGGTGGCTCACGTCTGTAATCCCAGCACTTTGGGAGGCCGAGGCAGGCGGATCACGAGTTCAGGAGATCGAGACCATCCTGGCTAACACGGTGAAACCCCATCTCTACTAAAAACACAAAAAATTAGCTGGGCGTGGTGGTGGGCGCCTGTAGTCCCAGCTGCTTGGGAGGCTGAGGCAGGAGAATGGTGTGAACCCAGGAGGCGGAGATTGCAGTGAGCCGAGATCACACCACTGCACTCCAGCCTGGGTGACAGAGTGAGACTCTGTCTCAAAAAATAAATAAATAAATAAATAAATAAAAGAATATCTACAAAAACCTACAGCTAACATCATCCTTAACGGTGAGAAATTAGATGCTTTCCCCTAAGATTAGTAACAAGGCAAGAACGTCCCCTCTCACCATCGATTCTCAACATCCTGCTGGAGGTCTTGGCCAATGCAACTAGACACAAAAGGGAAATAAAAGGTATACAGAATAAAAAGGAAGAAACAAAACTGCTTTGTTCACAGATGACACAATCATCTATGTAAAAAAATCTAAGAGTTGACAAAAGGAAAAAACCCCAGAACAAAGAAGCAATTTCAGACAAGTTTCATGATATAAGGTTAGTGTCCTAACGTCAACAGCTTTCGTGTGTGCCAGCAAAGAACAATTGGAATTTAGAATTAAAAATATTTGAGCAAGACAGGAAACAAAAAAAGAAAAATGAATAATAAAATTAAATACATATGACCATTTACATTAGCATCCCCCAAAATGAAATACTGAGGTGTAAATGTAACAAAATATGTACAAGATCTATATGAGAAAAACTATAAAACTCTGATGAAAGATATCAAAGAACTTCATAAATGGGATGACATTCTATGTTTATGAACAGGAAGACTCTTTTTTTTTTTTTTTTTTGAGATGGAGTCTCCCTCTGTCACCCAGGCTGGAGTGCAGTGGCACCATCTCAGCTCACTGCAACCTCAGCCTCCCGGGTTCAAGCAATTCTCTTGCCTCAGCCTCATGAGTAGCTGGGATTACAGGCACACACCACCACGCCTGGCTAATTTTTTTTTGTATTTTTAGTAGAGATAGGGTTTCGGCATTTTGGCCAGGCTGATCTCAAACTCCTGACCTCAGGTGATCCACCCTCCTCGGCATCCCAAAGTGCTGGGATTATAGGTGTGCGCCAGCACAACAGGCCAGAAGACTCAATATTATTAAGATAGCAGTTCTCAATATTATCAAGATAGCAGCAGATCAAGATAGCCAACTTGATCTACAGATTCTACATAATGACACAATCTTAATCAAAATCCCAGGAAGTTATTTGTAGATATGGATAAACTGGCTCTAAAGTTTATGTGGAGAGGCAAAAGATCCAAAATAGCCAAATCAATATTGATGGAGAATGGTCAGAGGACTGATACCACCTGACTTCAAGGCTTACTCTAAAGCTATAGTCATGAAAGCAGCATGATACTGGCAAAAGAATAGACAAATAGATCAATGGAACAGAATAGAGAGCCCAGAATATTAAAAGTAATATTTCTAATAGACCTGTATAAATGTGTCAACTGATCTTTGACAAAGCAGCAGAGGCCACACAATGGAGCAGAGATAGTGTTTTCAATAAATGACGCTGGGACAACCGGACATCCACAAGCAAAAAAAAAAAAAAAAAAAAAAAAAAAAAAAAAAAAATCTAGACACAGACCTTATACCTTTCATAAAAACTCAAAATGAATCATAAACCTCAATAAAATGCAAAACTGTAAGACTCCCAGAAGATAATATAGGAGAAAATCTAAATGACCTTGAGTATGGTGATGACATTTTAGATACAATAGCAAGGGCATGATCCATGAAGGAAATAATTGATGAGCTGAACTTCATTAACATTAAAAACTTCTTCTCTGTGAAAGGCAATGGCAAGAGAATGAAAATATTTGCAAAAGTCCCATCTGATTAAAGACTTTTATCTAAAATATACAAAGAGCCGGGTGCACTGGCTCAGACCTGAAATCCCAGCACTTTGGGAGGCTGAGGTAAGCGGATCAATTGAGGTCAGGCGTTGGAGACCAGCCTGGCCAACATGGTGAAACCCTGTCTCTACTAAAAATACAAAAATTAGCTGGGTGTGGTGGCGGGCGCCATTACTACTACCAGTAGTAGTAATCCCAGCTACTCGGGAGGCTGAGGCAGGATAATCACTTGAACCCAGGAGGCGGAGATTGCAGTGAACTGAGATCGCGCCACTGCACTCCAGCCTGGGCAACAGAGTGAGACTCTGTCTCAAAAAATATTAATTAATTAATTAAATATACAAATAACTCTTACAACTCAACAATAAGAAAATGAACAACCCAGTTTTTTAAATGGGTAAAAAAACTGAACATACATATCACCAAAGAAGACATTCACATGGCACATAAGCATCTACAAAGATGTTCAACATCGTATGTCATTAGGGAACCGCAAACAACGCGAAACCCATGCACACCCGTTAGAATGACCACAATCGCCAGGCATCGTGGCTCACAACTGTACTCAATACACACCTGTTAGAATGACCACAGTCACCAGGCACTGTGGCTCACACCTGTACTCCCAGCACTTTGGGAGGCTGAAGCAGGAGGATCACTGGAGCCCAGGAGTTTGAGACCAGCCTGGGCAACAAAGCAAGATCCCATCTCTACAAAAAATTAAAAAATTATATGGGCACGGTAGCATGTGACTGTGGTCCCAGCTACTCTGGAGGCTGAGATGGCAGGATTGCTTGAGCCCAGGAGGTTGAGGCTGCAGTGAGCCGCGATCCAGCCTTCACTCCAGCCTGAGCAATGGAGTGAGACCCCGTCTCAAAAGAAAAAGAAAAAAAGAATGATCAAAATCCACAGCACTGAAAACTTCAAATGCTGTTCAGGATGTGGAGCAACAGGAACCCTCCTTCATTGCTGGTGGGAAGGCAACATGGTACAACCACTTTGGAAGACAATTTGGCAGTTTCTTTTTTTTTTTTTTTTTTGGAGATGGAGTCTGGCTCTGTCGCCCAGGCTGGAGTGCAGTGGCACGATCTCGGCTCACTGCAAGCTCCGCCTCCCGGGTTCACGCGATTCTCCTGCCTCAGCCTCCTCAGCAGCTGGGACCACAGGCGCCCGCAATTTGGCACTTTCTTACCAAACTAAACCATACTCTTACTATGCAGTCCAGCAATCACACTCCTTGATATTTACCCAAAGGGACAGAAAACGTTTTTGTCCACACGAAAACCTGCACATGGAGGTTTATAGCAGCTTTATTCATAATTTATAGCAGCTTTATTCATAATTGCCAAAACTTGGAAGCAACCAAGATGTCCTTCAGCAGGTGAACGGGTAAATAACCTATGGTGCATTCAGACGATGGAATATTATTCAGTGCTAAAATGAAATGAATTACACAGCCATGAAAATACATACAGAAAACTTAAATGCATATACTATGTGAAAGAAGACAATCTGAAAAGGCTATTTACCTTACGGTTGCAATTATATGACATTCTGGAAAAGGTAAAACTATGGAGACAGTGAAAAGATCAGTGGTTGCCAGGGGTTGGGGATGAATAAGTGAAGCACAGAGGATTTTTAGGGCACTGAAACTACTTATTTTTCTGTATGATGCTACAATGGCAGAAACATTTATGTTATTTTTTGAGATTGAGTCTCACTCTGTCGCCCAGAATGGAGTGCAGTGGTGCGATCTCTGCTCACTGCAACCTCCACCTCCCGGGTTCAAGCGATTCTCCTGCCTCAGCCTTCCATGTAGCTAAGACTACAGGCATGCGCCACCACACCCGGCTAATTTTTGTATTTTTAGTAGAGATGGGTTTTCGCCGTGTTGGCCAGGCTGGTCTCGAACTCCTGATCTCAAAGAGATCCACCCGCCTCCACCTCCCAAAGTGCTGAGATTACAGGCATGAGCCACTGCGCCGGGCCAGCCGATACGTTGTTGAATAGAGAATGGAGAATATCCAACGCCAAAAATGTGCTGTCAACTCTGGACTTTGATGAGGATATGTTGACGTGGACGCATCGACTGTCACACGTGCCACCTGGTGCAGGGCGTTGGTGGTGGGGGAGGCTGGGCGTAGGTATATGTGTGTGTGGCAGGGGGCATATGGGAACTTTCTGTATTTTCCACTCAGGAAAATTTTGCTGTAAACCCAAAACTGCTCTAAAAAGCAAATTTTATTATTTAAAAGATGATTTTAAAATTAATATATTTAAATTTTTAAAAGAATTAAGCACACATGGCACTAACGGGGCGGCTAGGGAGCCAACCATCCATCAGTTGTGAGGAAGGGGGAGGCCTGCAGGCATGAAGGAGCTGGTGAGACCGCCCTCACCTGGCTGCCAGAATCCCAATTCCATGAGGACCTTGTCATGTGACTCAAAGTCAGAGACAGCAGAAGGTCCAAAAGTTACAACTTACCTGAAACCCACCAGGCACTATTGGCAAAGGATTCACCCCCACCATGGAAGGCACGTGAGCGCTGTGGGTGCCCTGTGTCATCAACTGCGGAGAAAGGAAACCAGAAAGAGCAAAAGCAAAGCAGCGAGTGGGGAGCAGAACCGCCCCAAACCCAAGGTCCCTCCTCCCCTGTCCACCTTCACACACTAAGCAATGGAGGGAGCGGGAGGACAGAGCCTGTGTTTGATGGACAGCTCCTCCCGAGGCAGAGGAGAGGCCCAATACCTGGGAGAAGGCTGGGAGCTTGCTACCCCTGAAGGAGACCCGCAGATTGGACGGAAGAGAGGAGCCAGGGACCCTCGTGGGAGAGGATGCATTAAAAGTAGGGCTGTCTGGGCCAGGTGTGGTGGCTCACACCTGTAATCCCAGCACTTTGGGAGGCCGAGGCAGGCAAGTCACCTGAGGTCAGGAGTTCAAGACCAGCCTGACCAACATGGTGAAACCCTGTTTCTACCAAAAATATAACAAATTAGCTGGGCGTGGTGGCGCACACCTGTAATCCCAGCTACTTGGGAGGCTGAGACAGGAGAATCCCTTGAAACCAGGAGGCGGAGCTTGCAGTGAGCCGAGATGGCACCACTGCACTCCAGCCTGGGTGACAGAGTGAGACTGGGTCTCAATAATAATAATAATAATAATAATGAAAGTAGGGCTGTCCAATTTAGCAAATGAAAATACAAGCAGCCCAGCTTAAATTTCAGATTAACCACAAATAATTGTTTTAGTTTAAAGATATCCCATGAACTATTTGGAACATTCTTGTATATTTTTAAGTGTTCACCGTTTATCCGAGGTTCTCATTTAAGTGGCTGTTCTGTGTTTTCTTGGTGAGCCCAGTCAAAGCCGCTGAGGCCCTGACAGCACGGGAGGAGGAGGCGTCCCAAGAAAGGAGAGGGCACCTGGGGACACCCTTCTCTAGCTGGACAGGGAGCTGCCCCTTCACGAGTGGGACAGTCAGAAGGACAAGGACACAACCATCCATTTTCGTCAGCTCATTCCCTGGCTACAAGTGGTCTGGATTCTGTCGCTTTGGCCCCTGGAATAAAATAACTGACTGACCCTTCCCCAGGGTGCCAGGTGTGAGTTTGCTTGGAAGAGAGAAGGGTGCAGACCCCCGACCCCTGCTGGTGGCAGCAGCTGGGACACCTTCAGTGGGCTCGAGAGTGGCAAAAGGAGCTATCTGGGGCAAAGCTTGGCCAAAGACACAGACTCCCTTGCCCATTCTTCCCTGCTTCAAAGGAGCCTTCCAGAAACTCCCCACAGGCCTGAAGTAAGTGGCTTAATGACTGGGATGATGAGTGATAGGTCACTGGCATGATGCACCCCTTTACGCATTTACTGGCACCAGAAAGTGATATGATGGCCACTATTAAAGTGTGGGGCGCACCCACGGAATTCGTTTCCATTCAAATGCTTTGCATACTTTGGTGGCCAATCCCCCTCTCAAGGGATGAAGGCAGGACTGGCTGTGGCAGAAGCTTCAGATGAGGTCTCTGGTCAGAGAAGTTCCACCTCACGTTGTCTTCATCATTGCTGTGGAGTTTCGCCGTCTCAGAGCTCACACCAAGTCACAGGTGACTTTAGACAGGCCATCTTGTTTAGGTCCATGCTTAAATTTGTCTTTATAAAACGTGGCATTTTTACCTCATATACACACACTTTAGAATCTTAAATAGCTGGAGAGTTTTCTCCAGGGACTTCTGGCTCCTGTTAGCTTGGTAACATTACTCCTGCTAACTTTGGTCATCTCCAGTAATACAGGCGTGCACACACACACACACACACACACACAGTCTCTCTTCCTCTTTATTGTCCCCCCCCAACCCACCCACATGCAATCATAATGATACATTTTAGTTCCCAAATGCTTCTAATTTGTGTTGTTCTTGTTGACGTTTTGAGACACGGTCTCGCTCTGTCACCAGGCTGGAGTGCAGTGACGCAATCTCAGCTCACTGCAACCTCCGCCTCCCAGGTTCAAGTGATTCTCCTGCCTCACCCTTTTGAGTAGTTGGGATTACAGGCACCTGCCACTATGCCCAGCTAATTTGTGTATTTTTAGTAGAGACAGGATTTCACCATGTTGCCTGGGTTGGTCTCAAACTCCTGGCCTCAAGTGATCCGCCTGCCTCGGCCTCTCAAAGTGCTGGGATTACAGGCATGAGCCACCGCACCCAGTCTCTAATTTGTGTATCCCATATTTTACAGATTTTTTAAGCTAGTCAAATTTTACAATTTTTTTACTTCCAAAAATAACAGTAATCAGCATCATATGTACATGTCCGTGTCCTCATATGTAGTAATTAAGATTACATGAGCCACTGTATTAAGTATCACCCACTTGAGGAAATACAAAGCAAGAGAAGAAAACCTATTTAAGAATTGGGTTTATATAACAGTGGTGTTGTCATTTTTGTAAACTGCTCTCCATTCATGCCAAATTATAGAGCAGCTTCGGAACAATTATATCATTAAATTTACGTTTTGTGTGATTTCAGTACTGAATGCCCTTTTCTTAACTTTCAGAGCCCACTGAAAGTTTCGGGGCTCACGTGGCCCACCATTGTCCCAGTCACTCAGCAAACACATCAGTGCCCTCATGTGGAGGGCTCCACGCCAGCTTCTGTGATGACAGAGGTGAATACTACCGGCTGCTTGTCCTCGAGCACGTACAATGTAACAAACTTGTAAATAAAATAAGCACATTATAATACAGCATGTTAAGTGTTACAACAGAAACACAAGAGACCAGAAAATCAGCACCTCTGTAGGGAATCTGATGAAGTCATGGAGAGGTGCCATCTGAACTGGGCTTTGAGGAATGAATAGGAGTTTTCCAGGTGAAGGGACCAGGGGGAGGAATCATGATGGGCAGACGCTCCAGATGAAAGCAGGTGTGCCTGGGGTTAGCGAGCTGCTTCCTGTGCAAGCAGCATAGGATATGGAAGATGGGGCCGTGACCTGGAGCTAAGATAGTTGGCTGAGGCCATATCATGAAGACCCTTGCATACGAAGGTGGGGATTCCATCCTGGAGGTAGGAACAGGAGTAGCTTTGATTTGGGAGAGGAAAGCTCTGCAGATGGTGTAAAAGGTAGGTTGGAGTTAAAAAAATTTTTTTTAAGTTCCATTTTAAGAAAAAAGAAGATAAAATAACATTTCATGAATTTTTTTCTGTCCTAATAAATATATGTTTCAACAATGCTTCTGTAGCTTGCGTAAAATAACGCTATAGTGTTTAAGCAAACTGTTACATGGGGAGATTTGAGGTTACTTGTGTTTTGTTTTGCCTTTTTCATCTATGAGTTATTGTAAACAGTTAGGCACAGATTCTAAATTACTTCCTTAAGATAAATCAGTAACGAAACTGCTGAGTTAAAGGTATGTACATTTTTCGGGCTTTAAATAAATCAGTTAAATTGTCCTCCGGAAAGGTTGTACCAATTTCTTCCCTACTAGGAGTGTTTAAGAATGCCCGTTTGCCCAGCACCCAGTATAGATCAGTACAGACATACAATAAGCAATATCTCACTGTATTAATGGACCTGTTTTTGCTACTGAAGTCACACGTTCTTTTTCATGGGGGGTGGTGGCGGGAGGAGAGGACATTTGTATTTCTTCTTTTGTGAATTACCTGTTGCCATTTACCCATTTTTCTACTGGTATGTTTGCCTTTTTATTTTCTTGCGCTGTAAGAGTTCTCTATATATTAAGGGCATCCTGTTGTTGCTATATGCGGTGTAAATAAGTTCTTTCAACTTATTATTGCTGTACGTGTCTAACTTCAATCCCTGGGAGAAGAGACAGATTTGAATCCTCCACGGCACATAGCTCAGTCTCTCTTCTGCGGCAGCTGCCCAACATATATGCCAAGATGAGCGAATTATTTTTGTCCGAGCTACTTTATGAAACTCATTCTGCCCCACTCCAGAAATGGAAGGGATCTGTCAAACGTTCAGACTCCCCTTGCTCACAGCAGCATCAACATTGTCTCCTTGTTTCCTTCATTCATCTAACAAATGTTTACTGAGCCCCTGGTATGTGCCAGGTACTGTTCTTGGCACTAGGGAAACCATAATGGGCAAAATCTTTCATTCTAGTTGGAGGACTCAGATAATAAAGAAAACAAAATATGTATGACGTTCAATTGTGATCAGCACTATAAAGTACGTCAAAGTACAGAAGGGGAGACTGAATTTGTAGGCAGCATGGTCATGGTAGACCTCGCTGAGAAGGGGCATGAAGGTGGAGGTAGAGGGTTTAGACAAGTGGATATGTAGAGGAGAAGGCTTCTGAGCAGACTAAGCAATGCACAGAAAGGTCCCAAGGCAAGAGCAGGCCCAGCGCATTCAAGGGACAAGAAAGACGTCCGTGTGGCTGCGGTGCAGTCAGCAAATTAAGGAGGCAGGGGAGGGGCGCAGGTCGTGCACGGCTTTGCAGCTGTTGTCGGAGCTTTTCTTCTGAGTGAAATGGGAGGATTGGAGCAAAGAAGTGGTGTGGTCTGCCTTATGTTGTAAAAAGACAGCCCTGGCTGACACACTGGGACTAGACTGGGGTGGGGGCTGAGCTGGAAACAGGGAGACCTGTAGTAGTGCAGGTGAGAGATGATGGCATCGTGGACCATCTCGGTGGTAGCACTGGAGATGCTGAGGAGGGGCCACATTCTGGGCACAGTTTGATGGCCTTAGAGCCAGCAGAATTTCCTGGTGCAAAATGTGAGAGGGGAATAAAGACGGTGCCGAGGATTTCGGCCTGAGCACCTGAAGGATGCAACTGACGTTAACTGAGATGGGGAAGATGCAGGTGGGGCAGGTCCAGAGGAAAAGATCAGAACTTCGATTTTAGAAATGTGGAGGCCAGGAGCAGTGCTCATTAACTGGAATCCCAGCACTTTGGGAGGCCGAGGTGGGTGGATCACTTGAGGTCAGGAGTTTGAGACCAGGCTGGCTGACACGGTGAAACTCCGTCTCTACTAAAAATTCAAAAAATTAGCCGAGCATGGTGGTGGCACCTGTAGTCCCAGATACTCAGGAGGCTGAGGCAGGAGAATCACGTGAACCCAAGAGGTGGAGCTTGCAGTGAGCTGAGATCACGCCACTGCACTCCAGCCTGGGTGACAGAGCCAGGCTCCTTTCCATCTCAAAAAGAAAAAAAAAAAGAAAGAAATGTTGAATGTGAGGTATGTATTTCATCAACATCCAAGTGGAGAGATTAAGAATTGAAATGAATACACAGTATACATTAATAATAATAGCTGTATATAAGGCTGGGCACAGTGGCTCATGTCTGTAATCCCAGCACTTTGCGAGTCTGAGGCAGGAGGACTGCTTGAGCTCAGAAGATCGAGACCAACCTGCTCAACATGGTAAAGCCCCTTTTTTACAAAACAAAGTACAAAAATTAGCCAGCTGTGGTCCCAGCTCCTCAGGAGGCTGAGGTGGGAGGATCACTGGAGCTGGGAGGTGGAGGCTGCAGTGAGCCATGGTCGCACCACTGCACTGCAGTTTGGGTGAGAGTGAGACCCTGTCTCAATTTTAAAAAATAAATCGTTGTATCTAAGAGGTGGGATTATAGAAAAGTTTTTCTTTCTCCTCTTCCCACTTCTTACTTTGCTTGGTCTTTGGAATATTTCAAAATTTTGAAATCATAAACAAGTTTTACTTTTATTTTAAATTTATTTATTTATGAGACAGAGTCTTGCCCTTTTGCCCAGGCTGGGGTGCAGTGGTAGGATCTTGGGTCACTGCAACCTCTGCCTCCCGGGTTCAAGTGATTCTCCCGTCTCAGCCTCCTGGGTAGCTGGGATTACAGGCACCTGCCACCACACCCAGCTAATTTTCGTGTTTTTAGTAGAGACGGGGTTTCACCATGTTGGCCAGGCTAGTCTCAAACTCCTGACCTCGTGATCCACCGGCCTCGGCCTCCCAAAGTGCTGGGATTACAGGCGTGAGCCACTGAGCCTGGCCAAGTTTTACTTTTATAATAAAAAGTAAACCATATTAATTTTTTAAAAAAATAATAGCATGTAAGTTATAACATATAAGAGGAATAATTGAGGCTTGTGTCCAGAACTTGAAATTTAAATTTAGGTCAATTCCACATTCTCTGCGATCCCACTGCAGGCCAGACACTCTGCTAGTTCAGGGGATACTGAGATGAACAAAGGTGGTCCCTGCCCTGCTGCAGCGGGCTGTTCGACAGGCTCCAGGCCCGTCTCAGTAAATGCTATCATCAAAGTCCAAACCAAGACCTGGGGGAGTAGAAGGAGGAGGTAGCAGTGAGACTATACACAATCCCTGTACTATAAAAATGGCGAAAGCATGCAGATCAATAGACAGCCTCTGGGCCACACTGAGTGAATTTTAATGCAGGATGGAAGCACACAGATGGGTGATCAGGTCTCTCTTTACTGAAACACAGAACATGTGCCAAGGTGAGTCCAAGGACACCTCTGGGAACAGGTGAAGCCCCTCCCCACACATACACTCCGGTGGATGTGAGCGAGGGTCCTGTTGCCACATCTGGGGTCAGGGGCTTGGACATGCTGCCCTTCATGGGAACCTTCTGGGTACCTCTCAGCACAGTAACGCAGCTGCAGTCTGTCGGTGGGGGCCCAGGCTAGGGGCAGCACCCTCTTTTGGCATACGGGACATGCCTGGCTGCAGCTGATGTCCGTTAGCCTCTCCTGACACGCAGTAAGGAGACCTGGAAGTGAGGCGCGTGGGCGTGGAGTTCCCGGTGGAGCTGGAGAGCAAAAGAGCCAGCTGTCCTTTCAGCCCATCTGGCCCATGAGCTCGCCAGAGGCAGAGGACAGGAAGGGACACTGGGGCAGAGTGCATGCGGAGGACGGCAACCCTTCCTGGGCCTCCTACATGCTGGACACAGGCTGGTGCCTCACACACATTATGTCATCTAAACCTCACAGCAACCTTATAAAGCAGGTGTTAGGATCCTCATTTTATAAGGGATGAAAGTCGCATAGAATAACTTATCCAAGATCACACAGTTGGGAACTAGAATTCACACCCAGATCTAGCTGGTTCCTAAGCTCATTGTCTAATCCCCGAGCCCAAACTGTTGGGCTGTCCCCGGACGAGAACTGATGCCCAACCCCATGTGGCCTGGTGCCTGCGCCTCAGCTGCTTGACCTGCTCCTGATCTCGCGGTTTCTTTCCGATTCCTGAAATCATTTCTGGTTTGGGGGCTTAGACCTGAGATTCAAAACTGGCTTCCCGGCCGGGTGCGGTGGCTCACGCCAATAATCCCAGTGCTTTGGGAAGCAGAGGCAGGTGGGTCACCTGAGGTCAGGAGTTCGAGACCAGCCTGACCAACATGGAGAAACCCCATCTCTACTAAAAATACAAAAATTAGCCAGGAGTGGTAGTGTGCACCTGTAATCCCAGCTACTAGGGAGGTTGAGGCAGGAGAATTGCTTGAATCCGGGAGGTGGAGGTTGCAGTGAGCCGAGATCGTGCCATTGCACTCCAGCCTGGACGACAGAGCGAGAATCTGTCTCAAGAAAAATAAAAGAAAAGAAAAGAAAAAGAGAAAGAAAAAGAAAAAGAAAAAGAAAACTGGCTTCCCAGCCGGACGCAATGACTCAACGCCTGTAATCCCAGCACTTTGGGAGGCTGAGGTGGGTGGATCATGAGGTCAAGAGTTCAAGACTAGCCTGGCCAAGATGCTGAAACCTGAAACTCCATCTCTACTAAAAATACAAAAATTAGCCAGGTATGGTGGTGCGGGCCTGTAATCCCAGCTACTCAGAAGGTTGAGGCAGGAGAATGGCTTGAACCTGGGAGGCGGAGGTTGTGGTGAGCCAAGATCGCACCACTGCACTCCAGCTTGGATGACAGAGTGAGACTCAGTCTCAGAAAACAAAACAAAACAAAACAAAACAAAACAAAACAAAACAAAAGCAATTGGCTTCCCTCTCCCACAAGGATTCACACTCGCTACTTTGATTATCACATGCCGGGGGCATTTGTCACTTATTTGGCCATCGGGTGTCGAGCCCCCGTGCCATGTTTAGGGAACTCCTCACAGTGGGAGTCACGATTGGCCTCACTGCTGCTAAGAGAACTCCAAGGACACAGACATCCCTTCTTCCCGTCCCCTGGCACCTGGCTGTGGGCTCATGGGAGTACAAGGGCTAAGCTCAGCCTATCAAATGTTCCTACTCAGGACTTTGGCTCTGGAGCAAAAAGTCCAGTGAGACAAAAAGGCAGCGAGAACCTATGTGAATGTGTGTGCAGGCCACGTGATGCCCCTTGGCTGTGGCAGCATCCAATAGTGACTGACCAGCAAGAGGGACAGTGTCCCAGCCAGCCTGATCCCACTGTCTGGACCTCAGAGCTCCTGGGGGCCCTCCTGCCTATTTTCCAAGCCTGCTGTCCTGGCATTGCTTTGATTCTATGCACTCTGGGACGCTGCCAACAAATCCCCCTTTTACTTACGACAGACAGAGGTTTTCTTTCGCCTGCAACAAAGGATCCCACTCTCCACGGACATATCTTGCTTCCCTCTGCTAAGGGCAATCATTCCACCTGTCCAGCCTGGCTATGAACTCTACACCTGGCATAAGACCCCCAGCCAGCATCTCTGCCAGGTTTACCCTTGCAAGGGATGACAGGAAGCCTGAGCCACTTTTCAGCAGTGTGGCACCCATTGACTGTGAGAGGTGCTGAATGCAAGCTTCAGGTATTAGCAAGGGCACTGTCCCATTGACTGTGAGAGGTGCTGAATGCAAGCTTCAGGTATTAGCAAGGGCACTGTCAAAGAGGCAATCCACATTAGACTGTGCACTGGGCCTGTTTTCACGGTTACATCTGTGAGCAGAGCTTAGACACTTCCCATCATGCCCCATCTGCTACTTTGTACCACACATTAGGAGAACAACCCACCCCTCAGTGAGGCCAGGCCCGTGACATCTGCACTGAGCTGACCCAGTCTAACCTCCAACAAGCCACACCATCCCCATCCTCAAAACCCTGACCCCGGAACTTTACCATTGGAAGTTCTATCCAGTGGGTTTTAGGAGAATTTTCCCAACTTGTACAAATACATCCCAATCATGGTCCTCATCTAGAGTATACATCTCTGCGGTTTTTTCTGCCTAGCCTCCCTATTTTCTTGGGGCTCATCCTTCCTCTATGGGATCCTGACTGGGTTGTCAGTCATGGTGACCCTTGCAGGCCATGGAGACCTGCACTTCCCCAGATGACATGAAAATTTGGGGAGAGGGGGCCGGGTGCGGTGGCTCATGTCTGTAATCCCAGCACTTTGGGAGGCCAAGACGGGTGGATCACGAGGTCAGGAGATTGAGACTATTCTGGCTAACACGGTGAAACCCCGTCTCTACTAAAAAAAAAAACATAAAAATTAGTTGGGCGTGGTGGCGGGCGCCTGTAGTCCCAGCTACTTGGGAGGCTGAGGCAGGAGAATGGCGTGAACCCAGGAGGCGGAGCTTGCAGTGAGCTGAGATCGCACCACTGCACTCCAGCCTGGGCGACAGAGCGAGACTTCGTCTCAAAAAACAAAAAGAAAGAAAGAAAAAGAAAAAAGAAAAGAAAATGTGGGGAGATGGAAGTCCCTTGTGAATCTATGGCTAACAAGGCTGCCTTTTCATACACATGAAGAAAGACTCTGAAGAATGAAGGGAGTAAAGCTAAGACAGGGAAAGAAAGAGAAAGTCCCTGTGATGGCGCTGGAGCTGCTGGATCCAGCCGTACTGAAGCTGAAGAGACACTTGTAGGTTTCTCAGACCTTGCCTTTTTTTTTTTTTTTTTTTTTTTGCATAAACTGCCCTGACTTGGGTTTCTGCCACTTGCAACCAAGAGTCCGACCTACCCTCCCATCAGTATCACTGACCTTTGCCTCAGAGGCCAGAAGGCCAAGCTTCCAAGGACCAGAAGAAACTGGGGGCTCTAGGAGTCACATGTTTACATTGCAGAGAAGGAAATGAAGAACTCGGAGAAGGCAGGCAGAAGCAAAGCCAGGCAGAGATCCTCAGATTCAGCTCCCAATTCTCCGTAAGAAACGAGACTCCCTTCCAAGCGCGGTAGCTGCTCTTCTGTGTCCTGCGGGTCTTCCCTGCAGCCCCTGCGAACCTCGCCCCTTCCTCTACTCCCCTGGCCCGGAAAGTGCCCACTCACCTGCTGCATCAGCCTTTCTGCCACTCTGGGGTCAGTGAGGTCTTCCGGGGAAGCCACACTCAGCCGCAGGAGGAGGAAACCTCCATTTTCACCTGCAAATGGAGAACAGTAAGATGAAAATCAGGGCTGGGCGCAGTGGCTCACACCTGTCATCCCAGCACTTTGGGAGGCAGAGGCAGGTGGATCACCTGAGATCGGGAGTTTGAGACCAGCCTGACCAACATGGAGAAATCCCGTCTTTACTAAAAACACAAAATGAGCCGGGCATGGTGGTGCGTGCCTGTAATCCCAGCTACTCAGGAGGCTGAGGCAGGAGAATCGCCTGAACCTGGGAGGCGGAGGTTGTGGTGATCTGAGATCGCAGCACTACACTCCAACCTGGGCAACAAGAGCGAAACTGTCTCAAAAAAAAAAAAAAAAAAAAAGAGGAGGATGAAATAGTCACATATATTTGCTTCCGTATGTACATTTCATGTGCAGAAAATTACACACAAGAGACAATCTCACGGGTTACATGTGTGGAGAGAACTGGGTGGGGGCACAGCCAGGGGAGAAAGGCATTTTATGGTGAACCTTTTCGTACCTTTCCATTTCAAATCATATGAATGTCTTATCTAATCAACAAATAATAAAGTATTTTTCTTTCCAGGGAAAAGAAGGAGCGATCAGACTGTCACTGTGTCTCTGTAGAAAGGAAAGACATGAGACTCCATTTTGAAAAAGACCTGTACTTTAAACAAGCTTTGCTGAGATGTTGTTAATTTGTAACTTTGCCCCAACCTTGAGCTCATAAAAACATGTGTTGTATAAAATCAAGGTTTAAGGGATCTAGGGCTGTGCAGGACGTGCCTTGTTAACAAAATGTTTACAAGCAGTATACTTGGTAGAAGTCATCGCCATTCTCTAGTCTCAATAAACCAGGGGCACAATGCACTGTGGAAAGCCGCAGGGACCTCTGCCCTTGAAAGCAGGTTATTGTCCAAGCTTTCTCCCCATGTATAGTCTGAAATATGGCCTTGTGGGATGACAAAGACCTGACCGTCCCCCAGGCTGACACCCGTAAAGGGTCTGTGCTGAGGTGGATTAGTAAAAGAGGATCTCCTCTTGCAGTTGAGATAGAGGAAGGCCACTGTCTCCTGCCTGCCCCTGGGAACTGAATGTCTCAGTATAAAACCCGATTGTACATTTGTTCAATTCTGAGACAGGAGAAAAACCACCCTGTGGCGGGAGGTGAGACATGTTTGCAGCAATGCTGCTTTATTATTCTTTACTCTGCTGAGATGTTTGGGTGGAGAGAAACATAAATCTGGCCTACGTGCACATCCAGGCATAGTATCTTCCCTTGAACTTAATTATGACACAGATTCTTTTGCTCACATGTTTCTTGCTGACCTTCTCCTTATTATCACCCTGCTCTCCTACTACATTCCTTTTTGCTAAAATAATGAAAATAATAATCAATAAAAACTGAGAAAACTCAGAGACTGGTGCCGGTGCAGGTCCTTGGTATGCTGAGCGACGGTCCCCTGGGCCCACTGTTGTTTCTCTATACTTTGTCTCTGTGCCTTATTTCTTTTCTCAGTCTCTCATCCCACCCGACTAGAAATACCCACAGGTGTGGAGGGGCAGGCCACCCCTTCACTTTCCAGAGCAGTTTAGCTACCATCTTTAACCCTGTCAGATGGGGTCGTGTTACCCACCTCCTAAGGCTGTTTTGAAGGTTAAATAGAGGAGATAACATATGCAAAGCTGGTGGCACACTGCCTGGCATCATAACATATGCAAAGCTGGTGGCACACTGCCTGGCATCAGATAACATATGCAAAGCCGGTGGTACACTGCCTGGCATCAGATAACATATGCAAAGCTGGTGGTACACTGCCTGGCATCAGATAACATATGCAAAGCCGGTGGCACACTGCCTGGCATCAGATAACATATACAAAGCCGGTGGCACACTGCCTGGCATCAGATAACATATGCAAAGCTGGTGGCACACTGCCTGGCACCGGAGAGAACGTTCTGCTGGGGCCAGTGCTTACTGGGTGTGAAACATGTTTATATCACCCCTGCCTATAACATGAAAGATATTCAATAATATCTTTATGTATTGAGTGGTTGTGATTAATATTTGTATTCCCACCTCCCCCAGAAAGGTGGTAACAAGCTGCGGATACACAGAGATGAGGCCCAAGGGCAGAGTGACAGGAAGTGGAGGTGGAGGCTACAGGCTGACCAGAAGCTGGACTGACCAAGCAGCCTCTGACAATGAACTTCTCCCCTGAGAAGTCCCTGTTGCCTCAGAGATGTAGCTTTAAACTCCCAAGCCTTCGCTGTATTTGCTTATTTTATCTTACCTTTTTTTTTTGAGACGGAGTTTCACTCCGTCTCAGCTCACTGTAACCTCCACCTCCCGGGTTCAAGTGATTCTCCTGCCTCAGTCTCCCAAGTAGCTGGGATTACAGGCGCCCACCACTGCGCCCAGCTAATTTTCATATTTTTAGTAGAGATGGGGTTTCACCATGTTGGTCAGCCTGGTCTCGAACTCCTGACCTCAGGTGATCCGCCGGCCTCTGCCTCCCAAAGTGCTGGGATTACAGGCATAAGCCACCGCTCCAGGCCTGTATTAATTTATTTTAAGTCACTATCTATGGCATAAATCCCAGGAAATGCATCCAGCAGGCCCCACTTTCATGGGGTCCCAGCCTGTCAGAGAGCAGCAGCTTGGGCCTGATGCCTGCCTGCTGCTCCTCTGTGTGGCTATGGCTGGAATAGAAGCTTCCAGAGCTGCTCAACAGTGCACTTCACAGAAGGTCAGAGCTGGACAGGACTTCAGTGCCCATTCCAACCCTCTCCAAATACAGGTGGAGAAACTGAGGCCCAGAGAGGGACAGGGACTTGCCCAAGGTCACTCGGGTTGTTACAGGCAGAGCCGAGACCGCAAACCATTTCTCCGGACTTCCATCCCCACCCCTTTCCATACACAACCCTCCATCTGCCTTTTCCTGATTTCGCCAAGAACCACTAGAAGATCACGAAGAGGCAACATCAGGAGCAGGCTCTGAGTAGGCTCCAGATCCTTCCCTCCTCTCCACTCCTCAAGTGCGGAGACGTCCTGGAAACTCCGCATCCCAAATCCCCGAAGATCACCAGCAGGAGCCACTTACCTGCACTCACGTCTGTGGTCGGCCTCGTCCGGGCAGTCGTGGGCGTGGCTGTTGGGGGCTTCATCGTGGTCTTCGCTGAGGTTGTGATCTTGGCTAAGGTGCTGTTCGTCCCTCGGCTGCTGTTGGTTGTAGTCGGAGGGACAGAAGGAAGAGGGTCCCTGCTGGTGGGGAAGGGCCCCTTGGTTGCGATGTCCATGGTCGGTGTCTCTGAAGGGGTGAAGTTCTTGAGGGCGGCTTCCGAGGGGCTGTAGGAGGAAGCAGAGCTCCCAGCAAAGGAAGTTGTTTTGCCCACTGCTGACCCAGCCTCTATGGAGACCGGAGCTGCTCCTGAGACTTTGACGTAACTTGGTGTCTCAACAGAGAGGGCTGAGGTTTCTTCAAGGGGATTCCTGCTAACTGTGACCAGAGCTCCACTGAGGGTCGTGGCCCCGGGTGCTGTCACTTCTCTTTCTGTGGCGCTGTTAGTGGGGAGTGGGGTCCCAACCGTGGCATCAGGTGCAGCTGACTCTGTGGTGCCGGCTGTGGACAGGGTCTCGGCAGAGGCTGTGACCTCAGTGATGTGTGGTTTTGCTTCAGTGGAGTCAGGCAGAGCTGGTGGATCGGAGGTGGACGAGGCCTTCACCCCTTCCGTGGGGATGAGATCTGTGTCTGAGGCCCCAGGGATGCTGGAAGTCGTTGTTTCTATTTCTGTGATGCTGCAATTAATAACCTCGATGTTTGTGACAGTCACCAGGGCTTCAGCGAGGAGAGTGACGTCAGATCCCGGGGACCATGAGGGGGTGATGACTGGATGGGGGCCGTCGGAAGAGGCGCTGCTCTCTGAGGCCCGTGACGGGGTGATGACTGGATGGGGGCCGTCGGAAGAGGCGCTGCTCTCTGAGGCCCGTGACGGGGTGATGACTGGATGGAGGCCGTCGGAAGAGGCGCTGCTCTCTGAGGCCCGTGACGGGGTGATGACTGGATGGGGGCCGTCGGAAGAGGCGCTGCTCTCTGAGGCCCGTGACGGGGTGATGACTGGATGGGGGCCGTCGGAAGAGGCGCTGCTCTCTGAGGCCCGTGACGGGGTGATGACTGGATGGGGGCCGTCGGAAGAGGCGCTGCTCTCTGAGGCCCGTGACGGGGTGATGACTGGATGGGGGCCGTCGGAAGAGGCGCTGCTCTCTGAGGCCCGTGACGGGGTGATGACTGGATGGGGGCCGTCGGAAGAGGCGCTGCTCTCTGAGGCCCGTGACGGGGTGATGACTGGATGGGGGCCGTCGGAAGAGGCGCTGCTCTCTGAGGCCCGTGACGGGGTGATGACTGGATGGGGGCCGTCGGAAGAGGCGCTGCTCTCTGAGGCCCGTGACGGGGTGATGACTGGATGGGGGCCGTCGGAAGAGGCGCTGCTCTCTGAGGCCCGTGACGGGGTGATGACTGGATGGGGGCTGTCGGAAGAGGCGCTGCTCTCTGAGGACAGGCCCTTAGCTTCTGTGGAGGTGTGAGCCAATGTCAATATGTCCATTGTGAGTGTCTTTGCCTCTTCAGAGCTGTCATCGGTGCAAAGGGTGTCAAAGATGGCTTCCCTGGGATCACTGCCTGTGATGGTCTGAACTGTGGTCATTCCAGCTCCCTCGGGGCTGCCACTGGCGGCTGATGTCTCCACGGAGGTGGCGATCAGCACCATGAAGTTGGGAGATGTTTTTGTGAAACTCCTGGTCTCTCTTGCAGGGGAAATTCTCTTGGCTCCCCTGGTCTCTGCTTCTGGAATGGGGCCGGCTGGGGTTGAGGCCCTAGAAGAGGTCTCAGCGCTCAGCGTTTGAGTTTCCAGAGCGGCGTGGCCCGGTGCTAGAGTCATAGCGGGCACTTCTGTGTCGTCCGTTGTCATCGCAGTGTCTGCTCTGCGGGTGCTGGGGCCTGTGTTGGTTAAGACTGACTTGGTGAGCCTGGGTTCCAGTGGACTTCACACAAGCTATTGCGTTTACACCCTGGGCACTTCTGGGAGGAGGGTGGGGCAGGGGAGTGCCGTTACCTCATTTTTCATCTACATAAGCGAACAAGAAGGAGGCAGTCCTGGGAAGCCCAGGCCTGTGTGGCAGCCATGGAGCTGGGGTTGCCATGACTGGTGTCCTCTGAAACCCTGACAACTCACTTGGGGCCAGCAAGCCCCAGGATCTGCTGGCTATCGGCCTGCGTCTTTAAGAGGGGATGTGTGGGGCCAGCGTCCACCTTCCAGGGTGAGCCAAGAAGGCAGACCAGCGTCCAGGACTCGCAGAGCTTTCTGAACCTCTGTCCCCTTCCCCGGATACTTTTCTCATCCAACACATAGTTCCCCATGGAAGTAAAAACCCTTAAAAGACGAGAAAGGCCTATGATTGTGCCTTTCGGGGTAGCTGGGTGGATTGAGGCGGGGGAACCTCCAGAGACAGGGTGGGCAGTGCTGCTGCCAAAGCGAGGGAGCCGGCAGAGTCCTTGGGGCTCCAGCAAGGGAAAGACGGCACCCCCCACCCTGCCGAGGCCCCTCCTGAATGAGGGCTGAGAACTGCAGGGTTGGAGCCTGGGAACCATGGAAACCGTGGCCAGGCATTTTCCACAGGACACCGGGAGACCCTGAGGCAACACCTAGCTTTTCAGAGAGCGGCTGCCAGCACTTCTGCCCAGAGCAGAGGCCTGTTCCCTTGACTGGCCCTGAGGTGGGAGGAATGGGAGTCCCCGAGGGAGGCTACGGTAGGATATCTTCCCTAGAGACAGGGTCTTGCTCTGTTGCCCAGGCAGGTCTTGAATTCCTGGGCTCAAGCGATCCTCCTGCCTCAGCCTCTTGAGTAGTTTACTACAAGATCTTTTCTGGCCTGAGAAAGGGGGCCTCCCCTGTCTAGAGGGAGATCGGGCTCTCCCTGTGAGTGGGCCAAGGAGCCTCTTGGAGAGGGTTTCTAGATTTAGCAAATAAAAATACAGGGTACTCGGTTAAATTTGAACTTGCATTTCAGATAAACGACGAATAACTTTTTAGCATGAGTATTTCTCATGCAATATTGGCTACATACTTACACTTAAAAAAAATTGTTACCTGAAATTCAAATGTAACTGGATGCCCTGTGTTTTATCTGGTAATCCCAGTCTTGGAAGGAAAAGGATCAAATACGAACCCCCTAATTCTCTGAGCCTTCTTGGTCCAGCCTACACAGCTGGAAGCCCAAAGGTGGCGCTCTTGGAGTCTGACCTCCCCTGGCACAGGGTTTGAGATGGTCTTTACCCAGCTCCACTGGCCCAAAAGTAGCCCATAGACCCAAAAGGGGCCTAGCACCTCTCCCCAGGGCATCAGGATGGGGCCCCAGGTCCCCAACTGGTTGTCCTGTGGACCTCAGGGAATGACGACGCAGGAGTCAAGAGCCTCGGTTGCAGCTCCCGCTGTGCCGCCCACGACTGGCTCCGGGGTCAGATGATCTGCTGGTTCAAATCCTGACTCAGCCTCCTACTAGCCAGGCCAGTCTCTAGACCCCTCCCAGCCTCCATGTCCTCACCTGAGAAAACAGGGTCACAATACCTGCCTTGCCAACGTGATGAGGACCAGCGGAGAAGGTGAAAGGGCTTATATTCCAAAGCCCACAAGGTAAGCATCCCTCCCTATGGAGTCCTCTCCCAGGCCACTGGAAAGCACGCATAGTTGATCTGACTATAGTGAGGAGTGCGGGCTGCACCCCCAGGCAGTATAGGCGAGTCCCGGGCACCCACTCTCATCCCTGGTCCAGTGCGGCCCAGCTGCACACACAAATCTCACTTTTGCAGGAACTGTTCGTCTGCCTTCATAATACAGTTTCTTCTCCCCACTTCAAGCCTGAGATCATTTCTTTGAGCCTTCTTGGTCCAGCCCACACAGCTGGAAGCCCAGAGTGGTGCCCTTGGAGCCCGACTTCCCCTGGCACATTTTCTGGCTTATCCAGGAGCCCCGGGGTGTCCTTTCTGCTGTGAAACCTCCTCATGCTCCCCAAGCCCACAGCCTCTCGGGTCCAAGGGGGTCTTCTCGAATACAGCAAATCCCAGCCCAGCCCCTCAGTAGCTCTGGAACACTGCGGCTCTCCTGGTACAATCTTCAAATCTGGTGGAGAGGAAAGCGTGTGGACTTGGGACCCTGAGTTGGAGAATCTGCTCTCTGCCCTGTGACCCTGGCCAAGTCTCTCAGCTCCAAGCCTGCATTTCCGCACCTGTAAGGTGGAGCTAACGGGACACGTGCAGCGCAGACCAGGCCACGGTGAGCACAGGCAGGAGGCCACGGGGTGCAGTGCTCAGGCCTGTGAGGAGTCAGATTCTGGCTCCGAGGAGTTGTTACTGGATGCCCAGAAGCACAGTGGCCTCACCCTTAAAGCAGTGGAGGTGGGGGGTGGTAAAAACAGGGCCGATCTTGCAGGGCCGTTGTGAGGATTAAAAATACAATGTATGATAATGATGCATCAAAGTAGGTTCCTCAGTCCTATCAAATGTGCCACTCTGGTGGGGGACGCTGATGATGGGGGAGGCTGTGAGTGGTGGGGATGGGAACTCCAGACTCTCCACTGCAGCTTTTTTTTTTTTGAAACATAGTTTCACTTTTGTTGCCCAGGCCAGAGCGCAAGGGTGCGATCTCAGCTCACTGCAAACTCCACCTCCCAGGTTCAAGCAATTCTCCTGCCTCAGCCTCCCGAGTAGCTGGGATTACAGGCACCTGCTACCACCCCCGGCTAATTTTGTATTTTTAGTAGAGACGGGGTTTCTCCATGTTGGTCAGGCTGGTCTCGAACTCCTGACCTCAGGTGATCCACCCACCTCAGCCTCCCAAAATGCTGGGATTACAGGTGTGAGCCACCACGCCCGGCCTCTCCACTCGAGGTTTAGAGGGAGCATAGAACTAAAAAAAAAATAAATCCTTTTCTATTTTTTAATGTATGTGATGAGTTTGGCACAACTCCTATTAGCGACAGGTCAGGGTTCATTCCCGTCTTTCACAAAAGCCCTGCCTGTCAGCATCCACCCTTCCCAAGCAGTTTGTGGCAGTTGGACTTTTCACACGAAATCTGTATTTTGAAGGAAATCCATGCTAGGTAATAAACTGGGAGGAGTCAGAATCTTGTTAAGCCACATTCTTCAGCTTTCTGCACAATGATCACCAGCTGGCACCTCCCTGCACCCCCGCTCCGTGCCCCACTTACTGTCCCACGTTCATAAAGACAAACTCTCAGCCATCCCTTACGATGGCAGCGTCATGGTTGATTAGCGTGTACTGCAGCGCCAGGCACGCTTACACTCACACACATCGTCATGGTTGATTAGTGTGTACTGCAGCGCCATGCACGCTTACACTCACACTGTCATTTGCACACTCTTTATCAACAATAATAGCACTTCACAAGTAGCACTGTGGTTCATTATAATCAACCCGAGAGAGCCTGCCCTTGCCCATGAAGGGTGGCTCATACTGAAATTCACTCCCAGAGCCCTACTAGGGGAGAGGCCCACCAGGCCCTTCTAGGCCTCCTTACCTGCAGAGCTCCCAGAGACCCCAACCTCCCAGCAGAAGAAGAAAAGGGGCAGAGCCAGACCCCAGAGACAGCCCATCCTAGCCGGCCACCGCTGCTCCACAGAACTGCTGGCTGTCTCTCGCGGGTACCTTTTCCTGCTTCCTCAAACCAGGGAGGAGGGGCAGCCTCCTGCCCAGGTGTGTGACCAGGTGATCACAAATGTGCAGGCTGAGGGCTGGCAGGTTGAGGCTGTCAGCAAGCTGACCCCCCTGCCTTCCTTGCCCGGTAAACACTCCACTGAAATTTGATTTGAAGATATGGAATCACTAGCTTCTTTTTTTTTTTTTGAGATGGAGTCTTGCTCTGTCACCCAGGCTGGAGTGTACAGTAATGAGATCTCAGCTCAATGAAACCTCTTCCTCCCGGGATCCAACAATTCTCCTGCCTCAGCCTCTGGAGTAGCTGGGATTATAGGCGCGCACCACCACGTCGGGCTAATTTTTGTATTTTTAGTAGAGATGGGGTTTCACCATGTTGGCCAGGCTAGTCTCAAACTCCTGACCTCAGGTGATCTACCTACCTCAGCCTCCCAAAGTGCTGGGAGTACAGGCATGAGCCACTGCACCCAGCCAAGTGCTTTTATTTTCTTAAGCCAATTAATTAGAGCTCTTTTATATATTTTCAGTAGCAAAACACTGTGTACACAACAACACATAAATACACAGATGTATTAGGTATGCTGAAAGAAGTTCATCTTATAGATTCATAAAGAGCTTTTTTCTTACACCTTCAAATTCTTTTTTACTTTTTTTTTTTTTTTTTTTGAGACAGAGTCTCACTCTGTTGCCCAGGCTGGAGTGCAATGGCTTGATCTCGACTCACTGCAAACTCTGCCTCCTGGCTTCAAGTGATTCTCCTGCCTCAGCTTCCTGAGTAGCTGGGATTATAGGCACCTGCCACCACATCTGGCTAATTTTTTTTGTATTTTTAGTAGAGACGGGGTTTCAACATGTTGGCCAAGATGGTTTTGAACTCCTGACCTCAAGAGATCTTTGCGGCTCAGCCTCCCAAATGCTAGGATTACAGACGTGAGCCACCGTGCCCAGCCACACCTTCGAATTCTTGATAACCTGTTTTACTACTCTAAGCGGTTGTCAGCTAAATAGCCTTGAATTTGCATTTTAAGGAAACTGAGGTGAAAATCGAATAGCAAAATTTACATCATAACGTATGGAGAGAAAAAGTCTGGTGTGCTGGAGGGAAATTAAAACAGATTTAATTGCCAATTAAACATAAAATTATAGAAATTATAAAGGCCTTTTAAATATATACACACACACAAAGATCCTATAGCTTTTACTTCAGAAATTTAGCCATGAAAGCTGGGCGCGGTGACTCACGCCTGTAATCCCAGCACCTTGGGAGGCCGAGGCGGGCAGATCACCTGAGGTCAGGAGTTGGAGACCAGCCTGACGAACATGGAGAAACCCCATCTCTACTAAAAATACAAAAAATTAGCCAGGCATGGTGGTGCATGCCTGTAATCCCAGCTACTCGGGAGGCTGAGGCAAGAGAATCACTTGAACCAGGGAAGAGGAGACTGTGGTGACCCAAGATCACGCCATTGCACTCCAGCCTGGGCAACAAGAGTGAAACTCTGCCTCAAAAAAAAAAAAAGAAAAAAAAAAAAGAGAAAGAAAAGAAAAAAAGAAATTTAGCCATGAAATAAATACAAATTCACCAGTTTACAAACAGAAAAACTATCTGATCCAAACAGTGTTTTTTATCTTAATAGAAAAATAACAGCAAATTTAAAGCAGGCAGAGAAGAAACTAGAGAAAAAAGAGGACTCAGGAACTCTACAGTTTGCAGGTCAACCTCAGGGCTCCTTTTTTTTTAATGTAAATGTGCAGAAAGACCATATTACTTCCACTTTACATAAACTCTGGCAAGTAGAGGCGCCATGAACCCTATGGAGTACTCGGCTGGGAGGAGCAAACGCCCTTTCTCTTTGGAGCTGAGAAAACTCAATCTCTCATTTACCTATGACAACAACAGTTCAGTTCCTCATGCAAATACATAGACAACCCAAACTGAGATTCATTTTGGGAGAAAAAGCAATAGAGAAGACCCTTTAGGATGCATCTCTGAACTAGAATTAGGATCCTTAAATCACAGCTTCCTAGAAGAGAAAAAAAAAAAAACAAAAAAACAGCCAAGACCATTCCCTGTAAACTGTGCTCAGCCACCCCTTCTTTGTAGTTCTCGTCTGCCATTACACACGCCAAGGTCAAATCCTCTCACAGTGCAGGGTCATCTCTGGTTCCCCCAAAGCCAAAGAGGTCAGGTCATGCCGTACAGGAAGACAGCAGAGCTTTAGACCTAAGAAGAATCCGCCCATCACTCTTGAAACTCCACAAAGAAAACAGAGCACCCTGGAAGGGGTGAGTGGCCCCTTTGTTCCGGATCCTTTAAAGGGGCTCGAGTCATTGGAAGCCTTCTCTAGATTTTTTTGGTCCCGCAGATGGCAAAGGCAGGAGGAGGTATAGGGAGGAAGAAAAGTAAGTGAAAGAGCATTTGTTGTTTTTGTTTGTTTGTTTTTTAAGACAGAAAGCAAACACAGAAACCAAGCACGTGATTTGTTGTTTTCGTTTAGTTTTTTCCTCTTTTGCAGCTGCAAGGAATTTTAGCCAAATTAGAGAGGCTTTGTTACCCATAATTTGGAATTCTCACTTGGATTTGACCAAGTCAGGTAGAGTTGGTCAAATCTGATGAGAGAAAGACCAGAAAAAACAACAACAACAAAAGTCAAATGATATGACCACAGACTGCTCTAATGGGAAGAAGAAATTCAGACCAGCTGGTTGTTAACCTTCAGCCAAGACAAAACCTCAGTTCAGCTACTTACCTAGGGATGGGTCTCAGGCTGAAGACTGCTCTCTACCATCCTTGAAGCAGGAAAAAAACTCGAACTTGTCTTCCCTGCTGGGAGCAAGCTCAAACTCCATAAAAGAGTTGTCAGCCTTCCATCATCACGGACCCAGGAAATCTTGCCTTCCTTCTTGGAAGCAAATAAAACTCCAAAAGAAGGAGAGGGGGAGTTGTACATCAAATAAACTTTAGATCACGACCAAGTTTTGAGAGATCAGGGACTCTATGGAGGGGGTGCTCCCAGACCTCAGCAAATTGTCCTGTTGGTTTGAGCCATAAGGTTAGCTCATGGTGCTACCAAGCACCAATAGATCTGTCAAAGGTCAGGGGTACCTCAACTCAGAATCCCTCCATGGTTACCAAAATGTGAACCCCCCAAATCTGAGACAGGTCTCAGTTAATTTAGAAAGTTTATTGTTCCAAGGTTGAAGATGCACACCCGTGACACAGCCTCAGGATGTCCTGACGACATGTGCCAAGGTGGTCATACGTTTTAGGGAGACATGAGACATCAATCAACACATGTAAGATGAACATTGGTTCAGTCTGGAAAAGGCCGGGCAACGCCAAGCAAATGTGGGACAACTCGCAGCCAGGAGAAAGCTTCCAGGTCACAGGTGGGTGAGAGACAAAGGTCGCATTCTTTTGAGTTTCTGATGGGCCTTTCCAAAGAAGGCAATCAGATATGCATCTATCTCAGTGAGCAGGGGGTGATTTTGAATAGAATGGGGGGCAGGTCGGCCCTAAGCCATTCCCGGCTTGACTTTCCCCTTTAGCTTAGTGATTTTGGGGGCCCAAGATTTATTTTCCTTTCACAAAACAATAAACATAACAAATAAGTGAATTATAGAAAGGTGAAAACTATGGAAAAAAAAGAAAAACAGAGAGAAAGAATCCTGAACACTGACGTGGGGAGGGCAGGTGCCAGCTGCAGTACTAAATACTGGTGTGGGGAGGGCAGGTGCCAGCTGCAGTACTAAATACTGGTGTGGGGAGGGCAGGTGCCAGCTGCAGTACTAAATACTGCTGTGTGGAGGGCAGGTGCCAGCTGCAGTACTAAATAGCAGAGGGGAGGGCAGGTGCCAGCTGCAGTACCAAATACTGGTGTGGGGAGGGCAGGTGCCAGCTGCAGTGCGTGGGGAGGGCAGGTGCCAGCTGCAGTACTAAATAGCGGGGGAAGATTTTTTTCTGAGCAACTTTGAGTCACTGCTCACATCTCATGCCAATGTATTAATCCCAAGTCAAGGGTCAGATGAGGCACTCGGATCTCTCCAGTTGCCAACACAGCTCTTCCAAGTGTACTTTACTTCCTTTCATTCCTGCTCTAAAACTTTATTTATGTATTTATTTTTGAGACAGAATCTTGCTCTGTCGCCTAGGCTGGAGTGCAGTGGCACAATCCCAGTTCACTGCAACCTCTGCCTCTGGGATCAGGCAATTCTCCTGCCTCAGCTTCCTAAGCAGCTGGGATAACAGGCGTGCACCACCGTGCTTGGCTAATTTTTTTTTTCTTTTTTCGTATTTTGAGTAGAGATGGGGTTTCACCATATTAGCCACGATGGTCTCGTACTTCTGACCTCAGGTGATCCACCTGCTTTAGCCTCCCAAAGTGCTGGGATTACAGGTGTGAGCCACCACGCCCAGCCCTGGCCAACTTTTGTTTTTTTTGAGACAGAGTTTCATTCTTATTGCCCAGGCTGGAGTGCGATGGCCCAATCTTGGCTCACTGCAACCTCTGCCTCCCAGGTTTGTAGGATATAATAAATTCTTCTTCAAAGGTTTTAGCCTGTAAATTGTTAAGTACAATGAGTTCTGAGATCCTCTCCAAAGAATCAATGTATCAGTATGTTCAGCTCTTCATTTTAAAGTTTAACTTCCTCGTTTTCTTCATCTCCTTGCCCCTAGTTTCAGTAAACAACCCCCTCCTAGCCTCTATCACCTGCTCCATCCTGAGTCACCCCCAGTCACCTGCTCTAATCTGAGTCATCCTGAGTCAACAGGGTTTCACCATGTTGGCCAAGTTGGTCTCGAACTCCTGACCTCATGTGATCCGCCCACCTCAGCCTCCCAAAGTGCTGGGATTACAGGTGTAAGCCATCGTGCCTGGCCAGTTTTCACTTTAAAATGATCTCTAATACCAACTCTTGGGGTCCGAATGGGTCCCCACTGGTTTCAAATGTTGAGCATGCACAGATTATGTGGATGAGAACTTGCCAGGTGGGCTTACCGAAGGAGACGTGGTAAGAATCGCCTACATCTGCCAGGCCCTGAGGACAGGCCCTCTCCACACCGAGGCTTATTTCCTTGGGTTGCAGAAGAGGAAACGCCAGGGAGCCCAGTATTCTTTGGTTCATTCACTTCTTTTTTATGTTGTAACCTACATACTGTAAACTACGCCCAGCTTAAGTAGCGTATACCCTGATGAATTTTTATGTACGTATGTATCCCCAGGATGTATCCGACACTCAGGTCAAGATACAGAACGTGCTCAGCACCTCAACAGGTGCCCTTGTGTTCCCTTCCAGTCAAGCCCCCACTTGCCACCACAGAATGGAACAATCATTTTTTTTTTTTTTTTAGAGACAGGGTCTCGCTCTGTCTCCAAAGCTGGAGTGCAGCTCCATCATGGTTCACTGCAGCCTCCGCCTCCCGGGTTTGAGCGATCCTCCCATTTCAGTGTAACCACCATTCTTATCTCTATCACCATAGATTAGCTCTGCATGTCTTTGAACTTCATATAAATGGAATCATGCATAGATAGGCTCTTTTGTGTCTGGATTCTCTCTGTTAACACTGTGTCTGTGAGACTCACTCACGCTGTGTGTAGTATTATGCTTCATCCTTTTTTGTTGTTGCATAGTATTCCACTGTATAAATATACCACAATTTATTTGTCTGTTTTCCTATTGCTGTGCATTTGGATTGTTTTGTTTTTCACTATTTTGAATAAAGCTGCTATGAACATCCTTGTGTATGTCTTGGGTATACAGATGGTCCTGGCTTACAATGATTGGATTTAAAATTGTTTGACTTTATGATGGGCTTATCAGGGTATTAAATGTGTTTCTGACTTACAGTATTTTTGACTTACCACGTGTTTATTGGGACGTAACCCCTTCCTAAGATGAAGAGCATCTGTATACATCCAGAATCCTGTGGAGCAACTCATAACCCATGAGGAATGGAAGCCGACAGACAGACTCATCCCCAGGACAGGTGGTTCTCACTACATCTCATAAAGCTTCTTAGAAGATCTTACAGGATTGAGCAACCAGCCAGCCACAGCAGGGGCCAACTGGATAACACGTCTTTGCATAGGCTCTCCCTCTGTCCCTGTCACCCTCCCCTTTTCCTAACCTTGTTCCTTGGGATTATGTTTTGAAATAAATTATTCAGAGAAATGAAGCCAAAGCTGACCCATTAGCCAATAGCTAGGTTCTGTGATGACAGAGCTTCTGGGCTATAATCGTTTACTGAGAAGCCAGCGTTCCTGAGGGGATAATGGCTCGTTCCATTCAGCTGCAGCATAGGAGTGAGGGCAGGGCATTAGCAGAAGATAACACCAGAAACGTGCTCTGGGGCCTGTTGATGACTTTCTGTGCCAAGCACAGACATTTAGCCTTTATTCTGTATGTGATGGGAAGCCAGTGCCAGTGGTGGGTTTGAGCAGGGAACCAGCAACCAGTGGTGGGTTTGAGCAGGGAACCAGCAATACTCAAGCTCTGCTTGGATGGAGGCCAGTCAGGGAGGAGTTAGGGCAGGAGGACCAGTCAGGGAGGAGACTTAGGGCAGGAGGACCAGTCAGGGAGGAGACTTAGGGCAGGAGGACCGGTCAGGGAGGAGACTTAGGGCAGGAGTACTGGTCAGGGAGGAGACTTAGGGCAGGAGGACCGGTCAGGGAGGAGACTTAGGGCAGGAGGACCGGTCAGGGAGGAGACTTAGGGCAGGAGGACCGGTCAGGGAGGAGTTAGGGCTGGAGGACGGGTCAGGGAGGAGACTTAGGGCAGGAGGACCGGTCAGGGAGGAGTTAGGGCTGGAGGACCGGTCAGGGAGGAGTTAGGGCAGGAGGACTGGTCAGGGAGGAGACTTAGGGCAGGAGGACCGGTCAGGGAGGAGACTTAGGGCAGGAGGACCGGTCAGGGAGGAGACTTAGGGCAGGAGGACTGGTCAGGGAGGAGACTTAGGGCAGGAGGACAGGTCAGGGAGGAGTTAGGGCTGGAGGACGGGTCAGGGAGGAGTTAGGGCTGGAGGACCGGTCAGGGAGGAGTTAGGGCAGGAGGACAGGTCAGGGAGGAGTTAGGGGAGGAGGACCGGTCAGGGAGGAGTTAGGGCAGGGGGATTGGTCAGGGAGGAGTTAGGGCAGGGGGATTGGTCAGGGAGGAGTTAGGGCAGGAGGACCGGTCAGGGAGGAGTTAGGGCAGGAGGACCGGTCAGGGAGGAGACTTAGGGCAGGAGGACTGGTCAGGGAGGAGTTAGGGCAGGAGGACCGGTCAGGGAGGAGTTAGGGCAGGAGGACCGGTCAGGGAGGAGACTTAGGGCAGGGGGATTCGTCAGGGAGGAGTTAGGGCAGGAGGACCGGTCAGGGAGGAGTTAGGGCAGGAGGACTGGTCAGGGAGGAGTTAGGGCAGGAGGACAGGTCAGGGAGGAGACTTAGGGCAGGAGGACCGGTCAGGGAGGAGACTTAGGGCAGGAGGACTGGTCAGGGAGGAGTTAGGGCAGGAGGACCGGTCAGGGAGGAGTTAGGGCAGTAGGACCGGTCAGGGAGGAGTTAGGGCTGGAGGACTGGTCAGGGAGGAGTTAGGGCTGGAGGACAGGTCAGGGAGGAGTTAGGGCAGGAGGACGGGTCAGGGAGGAGTTAGGGGAGGAGGACTGGTCAGGGAGGAGTTAGGGCTGGAGGACCGGTCAGGGAGGAGTTAGGGCAGGAGGACCGGTCAGGGAGGAGTTAGGGCTGGAGGACCGGTCAGGGAGGAGTTAGGGCAGGAGGACCGGTCAGGGAGGAGTTAGGGCAGGAGGACCGGTCAGGGAGGAGACTTAGGGCAGGAGGACTGGTCAGGGAGGAGTTAGGGCTGGAGGACCGGTCAGGGAGGAGTTAGGGCAGGAGGACTGGTCAGGGAGGAGTTAGGGCAGGAGGACAGGTCAGGGAGGAGACTTAGGGCAGGAGGACCGGTCAGGGAGGAGACTTAGGGCAGGAGGACTGGTCAGGGAGGAGTTAGGGCAGGAGGACCGGTCAGGGAGGAGTTAGGGCAGTAGGACAGGTCAGGGAGGAGTTAGGGCAGGAGGATCGGTCAGGGAGGAGTTAGGGCAGGAGGACCGGTCAGGGAGGAGTTAGGGCAGGAGGACCGGTCAGGGAGGAGTTAGGGCAGGAGGACAGGTCAGGGAGGAGACTTAGGGCTGGAGGACTGGTCAGGGAGGAGTTAGGGCAGGAGGACCAGTTAGGAGGCAGTGACTTAGGACTTCAGCAGTGGCACTAGAAAGGGGATGGATATGAACGACATTGCAAAGTAAAACTAGAGAGACGGCCGGGCACAGTGGCTCACTCCTGTAATCCCAGCACTTTGGGAGGCCAAGGCGGGTGGATCATGAGGTCAGGAGATCGAGACCAGCCTGGCCAACATGGTGAAACCCTATCTCTACTAGAAAAAAAAAAAAATAGCCAGGCGTGGTGGCGGGCGCCTGTAATCCCAGCTACTCCAGAGGCTGAGGCAGGAGAATTTGCTTGAACCAGGGAGTCGGAAGTTGCAGTGAGCTGAGATCGCACCACTGCACTCCAGCCTGGGCAATAGAGTGAGACTCCGTCTCAATAACAAAACAAACAAACAAAAACCTAGAGAGACTTGGCACCTTGCAGAGAGAAGCAAAAGATGACCCTGAGGTCTGGAGTCCAGGAAGCCAAGGACAGCAAAAGCATCCACAGAAACAGGAAAAGGGCAGGTGTGGGAGGGAAGGTGAGAGGTTCATCAGACCTCACAGCCCCTGGCAGCGCCTCCTGGATCTTTGAAATCCTGTGCACCCCAGGAGACTCCGGGAGGCCCATCTGAGCTCACCGGAGACAGGTCTGCCGTCTCTCCTCTCATCACTGGGGACAGAAAGCCTGAACATGAGGCCTGGACTACGGGGCTCAGACCAGAATATTTCCAGACTTAAGGGCAGTAATGTGGAGCCCAGGAAGGAATATTGAGGACAGAGGGCACATTACTTAGCTCAAGGGGTGCTGGGTTCTTATTTTCTACTTTCAAGAAATGTTTGCTATAGTCACTGTAACCACCACAAAACAGTGAATAATACCATGAGCCAAATGTATGTTTCACAATTTGTATGGCTGATTCTACGCACATTTAAATGTGTTTATGACAATTGTAGATTTCGGTTTTCCTCTGGTTAAACCAATGTGGAAGTACACAGGATGGGAGCTGAGAGACAAGCATCCTGGGCCCAGCCATGCTGGCCTCAGTGGGCCAAGCTGGGGACAGATGACCTCTGCTCCGTGGATCCTGCTGGCTCAGGGTGGGGAAGGGGCCTCAGGAGAGGAGTCAGGCTCTCTTCTTTATTCTCCTCACAGCCATGTTGAATGGCATTCCTGGGAGGCTGGTTTGGAGAACTCACTGAACCTAAGTGAGCAGGAAGTGAAGGTCTGTTCCCACCTGTGCCTGTGTTCCCAGATAGCAGCTGCCTCCAGGAGACTCACCAGGAGCCAGGTCCCTCCATACCTCATCTCAATTAACTCACTCACCAGGAGCCAGGTCCCTCCATAACTGATCTCAATTAACTCACTCACCAGGAGCCAGGTCCCTCCATACCTGACCTCAATTAACTCACTCACCAGGAGCCAGGTCCCTCCATACCTCACTCACCAGCAGCCAGGTCCCTCCATACCTCATCTCAATTAACTCACTCACCAGGAGCCAGGTCCCTCCACACAGAGTCTCAATTAACTCACTCACCAGGAGCCAAGTCCCTCCATACCTGATCTCAATTCACTCACTCACCAGGAGCCAGGTCCCTCCATACCTCATCTCAATTAACTCACTCACCAGGAGCCAGGTCCCTCCATACCTGATCTCAATTAACTCACTCACCAGGAGCCAGGTCCCTCCATACCTCATCTCAATTAACTCACTCACCAGGAGCCAGGTCCCTCCACACCTCATCTCAATTAACTCACTCACCAGGAGCCAGGTCCCTCCATACCTGATCTCAATTAACTCACTCACCAGGAGCCAGGTCCCTCCATACCTCATCTCAATTAACTCACTCACCAGGAGCCAGGTCCCTCCACACAGAGTCTCAATTAACTCACTCACCAGGAGCCAAGTCCCTCCATACCTGATCTCAATTAACTCACTCACCAGGAGACAGGTCCCTCCATACCTCATCTCAATTAACTCACTCACCAGGAGACAGGTCCCTCCACACCTCATCTCAATTCACTCACTCACCAGGAGCCAGGTCCCTCCATACCTCATCTCAATTCACTCACTCACCAGGAGCCAAGTCCCTCCACACCGAGTCTCAATTAACTCACTCACCAGGAGCCGGGTCCCTCCACACCTCATCTCAATTAACTCACTCACCAGGAGACAGGTCCCTCCACACCTCATCTCAATTAACTCACTCACCAGGAGACAGGTCCCTCCATACCTCATCTCAATTCACTCACTCACCAGGAGCCAAGTCCCTCCACACCGGGTCTCAATTAAATCACTCGCCAGGAGCCAGGTCCCTCCATACCGGGTGTCAATTAACTCACTCGCCAGGAGCCAGGTCCCTCCCTAATGGATCTCAATTAACTCACTCACCAGGAGCCAGGTCCCTCCACACCTCATCTCAATTAACTCAGTCACCAGGAGACAGGTCCCTCCATACCTCATCTCAATTAACTCACTCACCAGGAGCCAGTCCTCTCCATACCTGATCTCAGTTACCTCACTCACCAGTAGCCAGGCCTCTCCAGACCTGGCTTAATTCTCACTATACTTAATTCAATTAATTCTCACTATAGCCCTATCAGACAAACTCTAGGATACACATGAGGATACAGAGTCTCAGAAAGGCTGAGAAAGTGGCTTGAGGTCACCTAGGTGGTAAGTGGTAGAGCTAGGAGTTGAAGTCAAGTCTGACTCTCAAGTCCACGCTCTTTCCATTGCACTATCTGCTTTTCTTTCTCCCCAAAGCCACAATATGCCACGATGCGGCCCAAGGCCTCTCCTCCAGTACCGTGCTGAGGGCTCTGAACAGATCAGGGCTGAAGCCAAGATGTCATCCAGTGCAATACCCACATGACCTCCGTGAATATCTACCCTGCCTTAACACTGTTTATCTTTAGGAAGCAGGATGCCTGAGGTCCAAACTTCTCCCTGGTGATCAAACCAGCTAAGACTGATGGAATCCAAGATGGCAGCTCATTTGACCTCTAACTTCATTATAATCTAATTTCCATGTTAAATGACAGTCCCACTAACACCGTAACAGTCAACAACCAACATGACAATGATGGGAAAAAATAACATAAAAAAACAAATAGGAAGGTGGCACTCTGGTTTTGAAAATTTCTCCACCCAGACCCAGAAAACACATGATTCCTCCCCTTGCTTTTTTCATTTTTATTTTTGTAGAGATGGGGGTGTATCACTATGTTGACCAGGATGGTCTCGAACTCCTGGTCTCAGCAATCCTCTCATTTTGGCCTCCCAAAGTTCTGGGTTTATGGGAGTGAGCCATTGCACCTGGCCACTCCTCCCCTTGCTTTTAATGCTCAGCCCCTTCACTAAAGATGCCCTGTATCTGTGACTTCCTGGGTCTCACGAGCAGAAAAGTTGATTTGTGAGCCAAGCTCTCACTTCTCAATTCCATGGCCACCAAATAAAGCCTGCACTGCTTGAGGCTCACTTTCGGTTTTGCATATTGGCTTCATGGCACCAAACAGGGAAAGACCCCATTTTAGGGAAAGTGGCTTTGTCAGTAACAAGGACACAGAAGGAAAGAAATGGAGGATGATTTAGGGCAGAAGTCAGCAAACTATGGTCTATGGGCCAAATCTGGCCACTGCCTGTTTTTGTGCAACTCATAGGCTAAGAATGTTTTCTACATTTTTAGATGGTAGGAGAAGAACAAAAGAGGAAGAATGTTTTGTCACAAAAGTATATGAGATTCAAATTTCAGTGTCCACAGACGGCAATCCTGGCTCCTACCCCTAAAACAATCATTGCAGTGGAGCTCTGCCCTAGCTACGGCCCCTTTCTTCTTTTGGTTCCCTGACTTTGGGGCCTGGAGGGCACAAAGGCAAGGAGCAGGCTGCCATCCACCCCTTCTCAGAGAACCTGCAGGGAGCTCACCATGCTCTGCATCCAGTCTAGGTGGCTCCTAGCGGGGCTTGGTGGGTTCTCCATCCTCAGCACCATCTGCAGCACCATCTTGGTCATCTGAGAAGCTGAGAGAAACACAAGGTAAATGTTCCTGTCCTCATTTCTGCCTCCCAACCCCACTGCTGCTGCTCAATGTCCCCAGTATCTCTCTGCAGACTCCTGTGTGCCCTCAAAAGTCTACACGGTACCAGTCAAGAGACATCCATACTGCAAGATGATAGAAAGGTAAGTGGAACCCAACCACCTCATTCTCTACCCTCATGTCTACCACGGACAGCTGAACCTCTCCCTGTGGAACCTGGAAAAGTAGCTCAGAGAGGAGTAGCAGGTGGCAAGGAACATCAGGGAAACAAAGCTAGAAGGAGCATGTAGGCACCTTTGACCTGAAATAGACAAGATGCAAGATCTCAGGATTGTCAGGGACCTTAGGAACCATCTAGGCCACATCCCGGCTTTGGCCTGAAGTGCAGGCAAAGGGTTTGCCTCTGCCAGCCATCGCATCCAGCTTTGCTGTAGGTGGAATCGGGCCTGTATGTGAGTTACCAGGGTTGCAGAGGACACTGTGGTCTGGGTGGCAGTCTGGTGCCACATGGCAGAATTCATCACAGTAGCAACTTCCCCTCTTGCAGCGGTGATCCGTCCCAAGACAGCAAAGGTTCTGGGGTTGGGAGCAGCTGCCTGGAGAAAAAGGAACATTAAAAAAAAAAAAAAAGATTAAAATTAGCCAGGTATGGTGGTGCACGCCTGTAGTCCCAGCTACCCAGGAGGCTGAGACAGGAGATCACTTGAGCCCAGACGCAGGAAGCTGAAGTGAGCCATGATCACACCAGCGCACTTCAGCCTGGGTGACAGAGCAAGACCCTGTCTCAAAAAAAAAAAAAAAAAAAAAAAAAGGAAAAGAAAAGATAGATTTAACAAATGGTGCTTAGACAACTGGATAAGCACATGCAAAAGAATGCATTTGGACTCCTACCTCAAACCATATACAAATATTAACTCAAAATGGACCATAGACCTAAATGTAAGAGCTGAAACTGGCTGGGTGCGGTGGCTCATGCCTGTAATCCCAGCACTTTGGGAGACCAAGGCAGGCAGATCACTTGAGGCCAGGAGTTCAACACCAGCCTGGCCAACATGGTGAAACCCGTCTCTACTAAAAACACAAAAATTAGCTGGGCTTGGTAGCATGCACCTATAGTCCCAGCTACTCAGGAGGCTGAGGCAGGAGAATTGCTTGAACCCAGGAGGTGGAGGTTGCAGTGAGCCAAGATTGCACAACTGCACTCCAGCCTGGGCAACAGAGCAAGACTCTGCCTCCAAAATAAATAAATAAATAAAAATAAGTCAATCAAATTTAAAACTGGACAAAGGATTTAAATAGACATTTCTCCAAAGAAGATACACAAGTGGCCAGTGAGCATGAAAGATACTCAACATCATTAATCATAAGGAAATGCAAATCCAAACCACAATGAGATACCACCCCACATCCAGTAGGACGGCTAAGATAAAAAATAAAACAGCAAGTGTTGGCTGGGTGGGGTGGCTCACACCTGTAATCACGGCACTTGGGAACACTGAGATGGGTGGATGACGAGTTCAGGAGTTTGAGACCATCCTGGCCAGCATAGTGAAACCCGTCTCTACTAAAAATACAAAAATTAGCTGGGTGTGGTGGCATGCACCTGTAGTCCCAGCTACTCAGGAGGCTGAGGCACGAGAATCTCTTGAACCCAGGAGGCAGAGGTCGCAGTGAGCTGAGATCACGCCACTGCACTCCAGCCTGGCGACAGAGCGAGACCCCATCTCAAAAAAAAAAAAAAAAAAAGCAAGTGTTGAAGTGTTGCTGAGGGTGTGGAGAAATTGGAACCCTCATACACTGCTGGTGGAATTGCAAAATGGTGCAGCCACTTTGAAAATCAATTTGGGGAGATGAGGTGGCAGCAGAAAAGAATAAAAAAAAAAAAGAAAAAAAAGAAAAACAATTTGACAGTTTCTCAGAATGTAAACATAGAGTTGCCATATGACCCAGAAACCCTACTTCTGAGCCTGTAGTTAGGAGAATTAAAAACACATGTTCACACAAAAACCTATCAATGAATATTCATAGCAGTGTTATTCATAATAGCCAAATAGTAGAAACAATTCAAATGCCCTTCAACTGATGAATGGCTAAAACTAAATCTGGTATATCCATATAATGGGATATTACTCAGCCATAAAAAGGAATGAAGTACAGATGCATGCCACAACAACAATGAAACTTGAAAACATGCTAAGTGAAAGAAGCCACTCACAAAAGGCCGTGTATTGTATGATTCCATTTATATGAAATGTTTAGAATAGACAAATCCATCAAGACAGAAAGTATATTAGTGGTTGCCAGGGGCTGGTGAGATGTGTGGACCAGGCAGTGACTGCTGATGGGTCAGAGTTTATTTGGGGCATAACAAACATGTTCTGAAATTAGACAGAGGTGGCCAGGCGCAGTGGCTCACACCTGTAATCCCAGCACTTTGGGAGGCCGAGGCGGGCAGATCATTTGAGGTCAGGAGTTTGAGACTAGCCTGGCCAACGTGGCAAAACCCTGTCTCTACCAAAAAGTGCCAAAAAAATAAAATAAGACAGCAGTGATGGTTCTGCAACCCTGTGAATACACTGAACAACACTGAAATGTACACATGGTGAATTGTACAAAAGGGTAAATCTCACATCCTGTAAATTATCTCTCAATAAAGCTGTTATTAAACAGAGAGAGAGAGAAGGAGAGAAAAGGGGGAGATAAGATGAGGACGGTAATGGGAGTGACAGCGAAGAGAGAAATAGAGAAAACAGCAGAGAAGAGAGTGCCTAAGAGGGAGAGAAACCCCTCCCCCACTCCCCACAGTTAGAGGAAGGTCTTCCAGAGCCCTGTTTACAAACCAGTTCTGCCAACTCTACCCCCTGCCCAAATTTCCCCAAATTGCTCAGCTCAGTTGTGATCTGGTCATTGTCATTCCCTCCAAGAGAAGGGGATGCATCTTCTTTAAGAGTGCGGCAAGCAAGGCGTGGGCAGGAGGGACGCTGGCCCAGTTACCTGGCGAGTCTGTGGCTCAGGTGAGCAGGGGACCCAGGTGTTGTCACCCCAGGACTCTCAACACTCTTCTCCGTCTACTTGACTTTGACCTTCCAAATTGCTTCCTGTTAGGTTAACACCTGGCTCTTTAGGGCTAAACTGGAGGGCTTTGTTTAGGGATAAACTTGAAGGCCTTTCAAAGTTGACACGATCAACAGGGAGCAGGCCTCTGAGCCCTGTGGGCCTGGGTGTGGCTGAGCCAGTCTGTTGTGGAAACAGGGCCAGCAGGTGTCCGGTAGTGTGGTCTGGGGGGTCAAGACTCTGAAGGTGAGGGTGGCCTGGCTGGGGCCACAGCCTCTGAGTTTGGCCTGGCTTTTGCCTCATGTTCAGCTCAGGAGCCTCCTGCAAGTGATCAGCTTCTCTTCTCATGTTGTCCCTCTTCTCCAGAGCCTGGTGCTGCGTCAGGTTGTCACCAAGACCAGGGATCAACCAGAAAGGGCTGGAGTGGAAATAGAGCCCCAGGAGCCACCCAGACTAAGGTTGCCGACAATCTGTGAGACTGAGTTCAATTCAGTGGTCATAACCAACATTTATTTCAACAGGATGACACTGAATGAAATAGAATAGAATAGACCCACATACATTGTATGTAAAAGTCAACTGAGTTCTTTTTGAAATTTCTGTTGGTTTTTATACACACAGATGCACTTACTGGGTCAGAGTATAAAATGTATTTATTAAAGTGAACTGGGGCCAGAAACGTTGGAAAGCCACTGATCTAGAGAGATGTCCTCATTGTATAGACAAGGGGAGAACCTTTTGCCCATGGCTGGGAGTCAAACCAGCAATCCTGACCTCTCCCCTGCTTTCCCACCATATCGTGCTCAGGGTCCTCACTCAAAAAGCCTCTTGTTGCACGTGCTACGGAGCTCTGCTGTTCTCTAAACACCCTGCATTCTCCTGCCTCTGAGCCTTTGCTCAAGCTCTTCCCTCGGCTTGGAAGGCCCTTCCCTCCCATATCCATTAGAATTAAATATTCTATGCTTCAAGGCAGCATTTGAAGACAACTTCCCCCGGGGTGCCGAGGAGCTAGCTCATTATTATGAAGATGAAAAATAAAGAATCAAACATTGATCCAGCCTTTCCATCCAAGCCAAATAGTTGACAAGGGAAATATCTTCACGACAGAGAACCTTCGGCTAACAAGTGCAGAAAGAATGATAGAAAAGCACTACTTGGCAGCCCCTAATGAGAAGTGGATCTCAGCACAAATCATTAGTGGACAGAATTTTATAATGGGTGCACTATCTGGTGGATGAAGTTTAACACCAGTAAAAGTGGGACAGCTGGACACTTTGTGTCTCCTTCGAGGTGCGATAGGAAGTACCCACCTATGGATTCTTCCTGCCTAAGAAATCTCCAGTCCTGATCTCAACTACCAGAGTTCAGGAAAGACAGAGGCAGAGGGACATCCACAAAGATTCAATCAGTCAAACCCAGAAGGTAGGATATGCCGCAGGACACAGTACCTGGTTCGTTCAACAGCTAAATGACATGAAAAAATGGCACTGATCTAGGTATAGATTTAAAGACATTTAAGAAATATGCTAGTTAAACATGTGTGCGTATCTTTTTTGGATCTTGACTTGAATAAACCAGCTGTAAAAAGGCATTTTTCTTTCTTTCTTTTTTTTTTTTTTTTTTTTTTTTTTTTGAGACATGGTCTCACTCGGTGCAGCAGACTGGAATGCAGTGGTATGGTCACAGCTCGCTGCAGCCGCAACTTCTGGGGCTCAAGCAATTTTCTCACTTCAGCCTTCTGAATAGCTGGGACTATAGGTGAACATCAACACACCTTGCTAATTTTTAAACAAATTTTTTTTTTGTAGAGACTGAGTCTCGCTATTGTACCCAGGCTGGTCTCAAACTCCTGAGCTCCAGTGATCCTCCCACCTTGGCCTCCCAAAGTGCTGGGACTACAGGCATCAGCCACCACATCTGATCTTATTTTTTCTTTTTCTCTTCTGCTTTGCTGCTGAATAACAAGATATTTTTGACAAGTGGGGGAAATATGAACACTGATAGGTATTAAACGATAGTAAGTAGTTTTTTAAATTAATTAATTAATTAATTTTTTTTTTAAAGACAGAGTCTTGCTCTGTTGCCCAGGCTGGAGTGCAGTGGCGCAATCTCGGCTCACTGCAACCTCCACCTCCCTGGTTCAAGTGATTCTCCTGCCTCAGCCTCCCGAGTAGCTGGGATTACAGGTACCCGCCACCATGCCTAGCTAATTTTTGTATTTTTAGTAGACACAGGGGTTTCACCATGTTGGCCAGGCTGGTCTTGAACTTCTGGCCTCAGGCGATCTGCCCGCCTCAGTCTCTCAAAGTGTTGGGATTACAGGTGTGCGACCATATTTGTTTTGGCTCTGATAAGGTATTGTGGTTATATTTTTTAAATATGGGGGATAAGAGCTTGAGCATAATGTTGATAATATTGAAGGTGGCCAACTGGTACCTTGGGTTCATCATCCTATTCTCTTTACTTTTGCATGTGTTTGAATTTTTCCACAATAAATAGCTTTGGGTTTTTTTTTTTTTTTTTTCCTGAGATGGAGTCTCCCTCTGTCACCCAGGCTAGAGCGCAGTGGCGCAATCTCGGGTCACTGCAACCTCTGTCTCCCAGGTTCAAGTGATTCTCCTGCCTCAGCCTCCCAAGTAGCTGGGATTACAGGCACCCACCACCACACCTGGCTAATTTTTGTATTTTAATAGCGATGGTATTTCACCATGTTACCCAGGCTGGTCTTGAACTCCTGACCTCAAGTGATCCACCCGTCTCGGCCTCTCAAAGTGCTGGGATTACAGGCGTGAGCCACCGCACCCAGCCAAGAAGTACAGCCTTGTGCCACATCACGATGTTTAGACCGATGATGGACCATATATATGACGGTGGCCCCATAAGATTATAATAGGGCATATGCAGAAACCCGATATATGGTGCTCGATATTGGCCTTGAGGATCAAGCAGGGGAAATGACTGATGTTCAGTAATGGGACATGTGCTGGGACATGTGGCTTTCCATGTGGAAAACAAACATGTAAATAAATATATATATAAACCATCTAGGTTTATGTAAACTCTCGATTTCATTGTTGTGTGAACTCTATGATATTCATACAACAAAGAAATCATCTGATGATGCATTTCTCAGAATGTGTCTCCATCATTAAGCAACAGCTGACTGTGTTCCTACCAATGACATCTAGTTTTCTCCCAAGAGAAGTTCTAGGGCCAGGCACGGTGGCTCACACCTGTAATCCCAACACTTTGGGAGGCGGAGGTGGGCAGATCACCTGAAGTCAGAAGTTCAAGACTAGCCTGGCTAACATGGCGAAACCCTGTCTCTATTTAAAATGCCAAAAATTAGCCAGGCATGGTGGTGCATGCCTATAATCCCAGCTACTCGGGAGGCTGAGGCAGGAGAATGGCTTGAACCCAGAAGGTGGAGGTTGCAGTGAGCCGAGATCGTACCACTGCACTCCAGCCTGGCGGGGGACAGAGCAGACTCTGTCTGGAAAAAAAAAAATTAAAAAGAGAGAGAGAGGAGAGAGAGAGAGAAGTTCTAGTAAATGCAACTGTATTCACCCTGTTGTATTTCCAGGGATGTTTGAATAAACCCAGTAGACTGGTGCCTGGAAATTGCCCAGTGAGTCTGCCTGTTAATCTGGATCTGGGTTTATCACACCTACCTTCCCTCCTGTCCCGTCCACCCCAGCCACCCACAGTGCCCACGCTGCCTCTATCCGAGGGAGCATCCTCTGGATACTAGACCCTCCCAAGCTGATCATCCAAAGACATCTTATCCAGATATAAAACTGGATACACAAAGAAGCCACATCAACCATATAGTCGGTACTTAATAAGTGTCTGAATACATGAATTATTTGATTAATGAATTAATGAATGCTGGGTCACAGGAGGTGGGTCATGCCAGAGACAAAACAGATTAATTGATTGAATGAATGAGAGAGCAGAGATTGGGGTCTCTTTGACCTGTAGCACAGATGCCAGCCTAGCTCCTCACCTGTCTTCACCCCAAGGCTCAGCCACAGCAGGAGGAGGAGGACCAGCCACGTGGCAGCAGGCATCAAGCAGAGATAGAAGTGCTGCAGCGTCCAAGGCCTGGTCTTTAAATATCCACCCATCCCAGCCAGCCCACCTGGTTCCTCCCTACTCCTGGGGAGGAACCAGCAGACACCTGGGCAGTCACTGGCAGACAGCAGGAGTGACACAGGTATCCCAGCTGCTTGAAATAGCTCACCCAAGCAGAGGTAATTTTGACATCCTGGAAACTCCAGCCTCCAGGGGAAGAATCTGAAAAACCAGAGTGACAAAATGACAGCGCTCACAGGAACTTTGCAGATTATCTAATCTTTTTATTTATTTTATTTTATTTTTTGAGACAGAGTCTCACTCTATCGCCCAGGCTGGAGTGCAGTGGTACGATCTCAGCTCACTGCAACCTCTGCCTCCCGGGTTCAAGAGGTTCTTCTGCTTCAGCCTCCCCAGTAGCTGGGATTACAGGTGGCTACTATTACACCCAGCTAATTGCTGTATTTTTAGTAGAGACGAGTTTTCACCACGTTGGCCAGGCTGGTCTCAAACTCCTGACCTCAGGTGATCCACTGCCTCAGCCTCCCAAAGTGCTGGGATTACAGGCATGAGCCACCACACCTGGCCAATTGACTTTTATTAGCATTCATATACAGGTTTTGTGTGAATATATGTTTTCATTTCTCCGGGATAAATGTGCAAAAATGAAATTACTGCATCATATAGTAGTTGCACATTCAGTCATAAAAAAAAACAGCCAAGCTGTTTCCCAGAGTGGCTGCACCACTTTAAATTCTCACAGCAGTGATTGAGTGGTACAGTTCCTTTGCATCCTTGACAATAGTATTGTTACTATTTTTTATTTTGGTGATTCTTTTTTTTTTTTTTTTTTTTGAGACATAATCTTGCTCTGTCGCCCAGGCTGGAGCGCAGTGGCATGATCTCAGCTTACTGCAACCTCCGTCTCCTGGGTTTAAGCAATTATCTTGCCTCAGCCTCCCAAGGTGCTAGGACTACAGGCGTGTGCCACCACACCTGGCTAATTTTTGTGTTTTCAGCAGAGACAGGGTTTTGCCATGTTGGCCAGGTTGGTCTTGAATTCCTGATCTCATGTGATCTGCCTGCCCCAGCCTCCCAAAGTGTTGGGATTACAGGTGTGAGCCACCATGCCTGGCCTTATTTTGTTGATTCTAACACGTGGTGATATCTCCTGGTTTAAAGAAGCGTTTCCCTAATGGTATCAAACATCTTTTCATGTGCTTATTTGCAATCTGTATATCTTCTCCAGTGAAATGTTGCTTTGTATCTTTTGCTCATGTTCTAATTGCATTCTTTGTTTTGTTACTATTTTAAGACTTTTAAATGTATTCTAGATACTAGTCCTTTGCAAATATAGTCATGCATCGCATAAGGACATTTTGGTCAATGACAAACTGCATATAGGATGCGGTCCCATAAGATTATAATAATGGGCCTGAAAAAATTCCTGTTGCCGAGTGCAATGCTACTCATGTGTCTAGTGATGCTCGTGTAAAGCTACTGTGCTGCCACTTGCATAAAAGCACAGCGCACACCATTCTGTACAGTACACAATACTTGATAATGATAATAAATGTGTTCCTGGATAGCACAGCACACACCATTCTGTACAATACACAATACGTGATAATGATAATAAATGTGTTCCTGGTTTATGTATTTACTATAATATACTATTGATCAGTGTTTTAGAGTGTACTCCTTCTCTCTATAAAAGAATTAAGTGAACTAGCAGGCCCTTTGGGAAGTACTGTAGAAGGCATTGTTACCACAGGCGATGACAGCTCCATGTGTGTTATTGCCCCTGAAGACCTTCCAGAGAGACAAAATGTGGAGGTGGAAGACAGTGATACTGATGACCCTGACCCTGTGTGGATCTAGGCTAACATGTGTTTTTGTGTCTTAGTTTTCAACAAAAAAGTTTAAAAAGTTAAAATACTAAGTTTATAAAGTTAAAAAGTTACAGTAAGCTAAGGCTGACTTATTGAAAAAATGTGCTTATACATGTAATATAGCTAAGCTGGCTTTTGCAAACATAGAGTCCTGTGGATGTTATGCTGACTTCGGCTTGGGGTTTTTCACAGAGAGAAGCATGGCAAGGGGGACTCCATCAGGTTGGTGCAAAGGTAATTGCTGTTTTCGCAATTAAAATAATGGGAAAAACTGCAATTACCTTTGCACCCACCTAATAACTTATCTAGGGGACTCTTTCTCCACCCAAAACCCAGGACACTTGGCCCACAACTACATCACCACCCCAGGGTTCCAGGACACTTGGCCCATGACTACATCACCACCCCAGGGTTCCAGGACACTTGGCCCACAACTACATCACCACCCCAGGGTTCCAGGACACTTGGCCCATGACTACATCACCACCCCAGGGTTCTTTACTATAGTTTTCTTGTTCTTCCTTCAATTACGTGTGACATTCCCAACTCCAAGATTCTTCCAGTCCTTCTCTCCCCCTTCATCTAAAGCAGGCTGTCATGAGTTTCTGTCAGCTGCAATCAAGAGTCATGACTCTTACAGTGGGTAGGATTACTCCCTTTTTTGTTGTCATTAAGGAAACCTGTAAGAGGAAAAACAAACACACTTTATGTGGAGAGACAGGGAAAGTTGTTCTATTCAGTCTGGAATCTAGTCCCTCAGCTGGTGGTCCACCTTCGGATTCACTGGTCTTGGGAGTAAGACGGTGCCTTGTAGTCAAAGAAGTGAGGAATTCTGGTGCCTCCTGAGGGTGGAACTGAGGAGAGGAGACGTGAGAGAGGATGCTGGAAAGGAGGAAGCAGCCAGAATGTGTAGGGCCTTTGTGGCCAGGCCAAGGAGCCTCAGGGAATATCTGAGCGTCTTAAATAGGTCAGAGGGCAATTCTGAAAACAAACTCCTTCTACCTGCTGTGTAGGCAATGAGTTGTCATTGTTAGATAGAGGATAAAATGAACCCAATTAGATTATTGCCATCATTCCAGTGATTGAAGATGTTGATCTGTAATAGGGTAATGGCCATACACTTTCGAGAGGAAAAATGTTCAAATTTAGGGGATAATTAGAAATCTGCACTTACAGCCCTTGGTGACACTTTTCCTATGAGCCAAACGGAGAGGGGGAGAGAGAGAGAAGGTGGACAGTCACCGACATATGAGGCAGTGGAAGAGGAACAGGCATGGATAGGAAGAGAATTGTGGGACACACTGGGTTCGAGATGCCTGTGTGAGACAGTCTCATGAATATGTCCAGTAGTATATTGACCAAGCAAGTCTGTCAGGAGCCTCTGGAAATGAGGTACAGAATTTGATAGTCATCACTATGGAGATGGTAACCTGAGCCGTGAGAGAAGCTAAAATCCCCGGGGAGAGGATGTAGAATGAGAGGAGAAAATGGGCCAGGACAAACACAAGGAATGCTCGGAGGGAGGGGCAAAACCAGAACAGTACAGCGTCCCCAAACCAAGGAAAAGAATGTTGCCAGAAGAGGAGAGTCAGGCTGTTTCAAACTCTGCTAAGAAGTGAAGGATGTTGCATATTGAGTAGAGTCCATTGGGGTTACCAGTCAGGCTGACTCAGGGATCCTCTTTGGCAGAAGTAGTTCCAATGAAGTGGGAGGAGGAAGGGAGGAGCAGAGGCCAAATGAGCGTGAGGAGTGTTTAGGAGTTGACAGAAAGTGTATCCACTTTTTTGAGACGTTTAGCCAGGAAGAGGGAGAGACATGGGGCAGTAGGTGGAGGAGGAGATGAAATTAAGGGAGTGTATGGAGTTTTAAAATGGAAAGCTTGATCCTGTTTAAATGCTGTTTTATGCCCCTACGAGGGCGAGGTTAAACATACAGAATAGAGGCATAACTGATAGAGCCAAGACTCCCACCCAGGAGCGGGTTTCGAGCGGCACCTCTCTAATTCAATCCCAAAGGAAAAGAGGATACATGTGGGTCCAGGTACATGCTGAGGTTTGGTGGCAGGACTTTGAAGGAGGTCCCATCTGATGGCTTCTATTTCTCCTGTGAAATAGGGGAAGCCCTGTCTGCTGGTTGTGATGTGCCGTGACAGTCAGAAATGCGGGGAAAAGGGGACAGGTCTGAAACGGGAGGCGTTAAGAATGGGAAAGTAAAGGCAGGCGCGATGGCTCACGCCTGTAATCCCAGCACTTTGGGAGCTCGAGGCGGGTGGATCACCTGAAGTCGGGCATTTGAGACCAGCCTGGCCAACATGGTGTAACCCCATCTCTACTAAAAATACAAAAATTAGCCAGGCATGGTGGTGTGTGCCTGTAATCCCAGCTACTTGGGAGGCTGAGGCAGGAGAATCGCTTGAACCCAGGAGGTGGAGGGTGCAGTGAGCTGAGATCGCGCCGCTGCACTCCAGACTGGGTGGCAAAGCGAGACTCCAACTCAAAAAAAAAAAAAAAAAAGAATGGGAAAGGGAGAGTGTCTGGGGAAGCAGCGTTGCCTCGGCAAGGCCTGAGACCGGCTGGGGTTAGAGATCAGGACTCCCGCGTGGCCTCGTCTCTGCCTCTGTGCATTTTCCCCCAGCAGGTCAGCAGTGTGAAAGGCGGGGGTTCTAGTAGGTCTCACAGGGAGACAATGCAGGAAGGGGCTGAGAATTGCAAGTGAGAGGTTATTGGTAGGACGGACAATGCAGGAGCTGGATGGACTGCACGGACTGAGCGATCGCCACCGAGAGATATTTGGGGTACCCTGCCCCAGTCCCCAGCCCTCAGCCCCCGACCCACCATGGGAGGTGGGAGCAGCGGGCAGGCCGGTTGGGGGCCAGATACCCAGGCAGTGGGATGTGCAGTGGGAGGGGTCTCCGCCCCTGCCCCGGGTCCCCACTGGCCCCTCCGCCGCCGACCGGCCCCCCCGCGGCATCCCAGAGCCGACCCAGGCCCAACTAGAGGAATGGCTGCAGAGCTGGGATCCTAATGACACAGGACAGTGGTGGAGCGTTAAGAGCTCGGTGGTAAACGTGCACTGAAATACAGTCATGCTGTGCAGAAGCTCTCTAGTTTCATTAGATACCTTTTGTCAATTTTGGCTTTTGTTGCCATTTCTTTTGGTGTTTTAGTCATGAAGTCTTTGCCCATGCTTACGTCCTCAATGGTGTTGCCTAGGTTTTCTTCTAGGATTTTTCTGGTTTTAGGTCTCACGTTTAAATCTTTAATGCATCTTGAGTTAATTTTTGTATAAGTGTCAGCAAGGGGTCTAGTTTCGGTTTTCTGCATATGACCAGGCAGAGTGAACAGGCAACCTACAGAATGGAAGAAAATTTTTGCAATCTATCCATCCGACAAAGGGCTAATATCCAGAATTTACAAGGAACTTAAGTAAATTTACAAGAACAAACAACCCCATCAGAAAGTGTGCAAAGGATATGAACAGACACTTCTCAAGACATTTATGCAGCCAACAAACATGAAAAAAACTCATCGTCACTGATCATTAGAGAAATGCAAATCAAAACCACAATGAGATATCATCTCACACCAGTTAGAATGGTGATCATTAAAAAGTCAGGAAACAACAGATGCTGGAGAGGATGTAGAGAAATAGGAATAGTTTTACACTGTTGGTGGGAGTGCAAATTAGTTCAACCATTGTGGAAGACAGTGTGGCGATTCCTCAAGGATCTAGAACTAGAAATACCATTTGACCCAGCCATCCCATTACTGGGTATATACCCAAAGGATTATAAATCATTCTACTGTAAAGACACATGCACACGTATGTTTATTTATTATTTTTGAGACGGAGTCTTGCTCTGTTGCCAGGCTGGAGTGCAGTGGCACGGTCTCGGCTCACTGCAACCTCCACCTCCCGGGTTCAAGCGATTCTCTTGCCTCAGCCTCCTGAGTAGCTGGAACTACAGGCACACACCACCACGCCCAGCTAATTTTTTGCATTTTACTAGAGAAGGGGTTTCACCATGTTGGCCAGAATGGTCTTGATCTCCTGACCTCGTGATCCACCCGCCTCAGCCTCCCAAAGTGCTGGGATTACAGGTTTGAGCCACCGCGCCCAGCCCCGAGCACATGTATGTTTATTGCGGCACTATTCACAATAGCAAAGACTTGGAACCAACCCAAATGCCCATCAATGACAGACTGGTTAAAGAAAATGTGGCACATAGACACCATGGAATACTATGCAGCCATAAAAAAGGATGAGTTCATGTCCTTTGCAGGATCATGGATGACACTGGAAACCATCATTCTCAGCAAACTAACACAGGAACAGAAAACCAAACACTGCATGTTCTCACTCATAAGTGGAAGTTGAACAATGAGAACATATGGACACAGGGAGGGGAACATCACACACCGGTGCCTGTTGGGAGGTTGGGGGCAAGGGGAGGGATAGCATTAGGAGAAATACCCAATGTAGATGACAGGTTGATGGGTGCAGCAAACCACCATGGCACATATATACCTATGTAACAACGCTGCACGTTCTGCACATGTATCCCAGAACTTAAAGTATAATAATAATAATAATAAAGGAATTGAGAGACTGTTGATATCAACTGTTCCCTGAGCCACATGGAAAGCTGTATCCTCTGCAGGCTGCTTGGTGAGTATGTGAGGAGGTATATTCATTCACTTTGAGACCTATTTCTCTAAGAAAGGGTCCTGAAAGGCTTTCCCCTGCTACAGGGACAGCCCTTGGCAAGGAAGCCACTGTCCTCAGGCACACAGGGCTCCTTCATCTCCTGCAACAGATACAGCCCTTGGCAAGGAAGCCACTGTCCTTGAGCACATAGACAGGGCTCCTTCATCTCCTGCAACAGGGACAGCCCTTGGCAAGGAAGCCACTGCCCTTGAGCACATAGACAGGGCTCCTTCATCTCCTGCAACAGGGACAGCCCTTGGCAAGGAAGCCACTGTCCTTGAGCACATAGACAGGGCTCCTTCATCTCCTGCAACAGGGACAGCCCTTGGCAAGGAAGCCACTGTCCTTGAGCACATAGACAGGGCTCCTTCATCTCCTGCGACAGGGACAGCCCTTGGCAAGGATGTCACTTCCTTGGGCACACAGACAGGGCTCCTTCAGCAGACAGCAGATAGATATGCAATGCAAGCCTTGGTTTTTTGGGATGATTCCAATGCAGCACCAGATACGTGTGTCCAATTCTGGGGTTTGCTCATAGGAAACCCATGTGCCAGCAAATCTATGTCACATTCTCCAGTATCACCTTTATAAGGAATAAAGTCAATTTACTGTTCTTCTGTAAAAAGAAAGAAACGTATTCATGACTGTAGCTTGGCTGTCACTCAAGTGCAAGTGAATGGTGGATGTGGCCGCGCGGCTCCACGCACTGATTCATAATCCCCAAAAGGGACAAGGGCAGACCCAGCTCTCTGCAGGGCAAACGCTCCACAACCCAAAACACTTGTTTCTGTTGTTGTTGCTGTTTGGAAACTCCCTCTTCTATTTCCCACCTCCCTCTTTCCCGTTCTCATTCCCTTTTCTCTGCTCCTATTTCTGTTTCCCTCAGTTCCACCTAATACCCCGTGGTGTCACCCTAGCCCTTTCCTCTACCCACTCCAGCCTTACTACCCCCAACGTCCCACACCCTGGGAAACACCAAGGTCTGCCTCTGTACCTCCAAGTTCTTTCCCCGTTATTGCCCTGGGTCAGTCCTTTGTGGGGGCTCCTCTCTCCTCTCTTGATTTCTTTTCATCTGGCTAACCTCTAATCCTGTAAGATTTACCTCAAATATCTTTCAAGAAGTATTTTCTGAATCCAAGGAGGACCTAAAAGCCATTCTGCTGGCCTCCCAGAGCTGAATCTGCCCATCTCCCCCGGATTATATTAAAATTATAAGTCATGTAAAATCCTTTTGGAACGAGACAGGGTATGATAAATAAGAAATATTCAACAAGTATACGTTACTTGTGTACACATACCACCTGACTTCTTTAACAACACATTGCAAGAAATAAAAAGATGGAGACATACGGCTGGGCGCAGTGGCTAATGCCTGTAATCCCAGCACTTTGGGAGGCCAAGGCAGGTGGATCACTGAGGTCAGGAGTTCGACACCAGCCTGGCCAACATGGTGAAACCCCCATCTCTACTAAAAATACAAAAATTAGCCAAGTGTGGTGGCAGGCACCTGTAATCCCAGCTACTCGGAAGGCTGAGGCAGGAGAATCTCTTGAACCCGGAATGCGGAGCTTGCAGTCAAGCAAGATTATGCCACTGCACTCCAGCCTGGGTGACACAGCAAGACTCCATCTCAAAAAAAAAAAAAAAAAGAAAAAGAAAAAGAAAAAACACCATGCATGCATACTCATATGAATGTACAAATGGATGAGTCTAGAACAAAAGATACTAGCCTGATACATATACAAACTATGCAGCTGCAGTCCCTGCCTCTTCCGCAACCCTGACCTCTAAGAAAGCTCTAACTCTGAATCCTGTCAGCACCTGGGCTGTGCTGCTTGGGACAACATTGTCTTCACAAGTCCTCTCCACATTCTCAGAGGTGGGGGTATTGCCAATGATGGGGGTTACTGCCTGAGTCCCGTCACCAGGGGACAAAGCTACAGCAGACACCACCATCTGCCAACAAAAAGAGAGATCATCTCCCACCCCTGGTTCTGCTGACGCAATCACTGGAAGCATCGAGGCACCACTATGTCCTCACCTGCCTCGGATTCAATTTCCTCCTAGCCAGGTCTGTTCTAAGGTCTCCAGAAGTTGAGAAATTAATTGAAAGATAACACTTTCCTCCCTGTGTTAAGGTTTATCACATAATGTATCCAAATACTGGGCCAGTCTTTCCTTTGGTCTCATTTCTATGAGCTAATCTGAAAATGCCTTTTCTGTTTTCCTTAGAATTTTTCTAAATGTTTCTGGGCGCTTGTGTTCCTGAGGCTTTCCACAGTGCACCCTCTTGTTCATCTGATGTCTTTGGCACATATAGGCCCTCGACAGGTAGTTGTTCAATGAACAGATGACCATCCTGTCCTTTGTGTGAACAAGCATAGCAAGTGCACATTGTATCTGTTTGTGTATCCAACAGCGTCCCTCCAAAGCCACTTTGTTCACTTATTTTCTCAGGATCACGGACGGCTGCATCTTGACATAAGCACACAGAATCTTTCCTTTTCCAGTCACTTTTCCTTTTTCCAGATTCCGGCCATAGAATTCCAGGCACAGAGCCAACCATGCCTGGCACCCCCTCCTGTCTTGGGACAAGGATACTTTCTCCTGTGGCTCCCATCTTGCTTCCAACATTCTTCTGCCAGAATTCAGTTTGGCGGACAATGACCTACTACTTTTAATTTTTTTCCCCTTTTTGCTCTTCTACCAAATACCGCTTTTCACCCAGGCTTTTCACTGCGTAGTGGACAATCTATCAAACAGGTGCTGTCCAGCGTGAGGGGCAGTTGCAAAGGTCTGCATCGGTGCTGGCTGATGGAACTTTCCGGTGATGGCATCATTCCGTAGCTGCACTGTCCAGTGAGGAGGCTACTTGCCACTGTGGCTACTGCTTGGGATGGTGCAGGTCTGAATATCTTACTCACAGCTCACCTTTTTGGTGCCTTTGATCCGTATTAGGAATTATCCACATCTTCTCTCTGGGCAATATTCTACTTTTTATATTGACCCAATTATTTTACTTCTTTGGTGTGTCCTTTCTCCTAACACATATGGGTTCACTTTGAAACCCTGAAACCCACATTTACAAAAACATTTTCAATATGAAACATTGTTCCATGACTCATTACTGGAGTACCATCAACATTTACATTTCCAGACCACCCACTGCCCAGTGGTTTTCTTGGTCTCAGTACTCATGAAAACGGTCTGAAGGTTTGTTTTGGGTTCCTAAGTAGTAGACACACGCACAACACTGCCTGTCAGTTATTTCTTGGAAACTAAATCAGCCCTTCTGTTGCCATCCTATCATGCTTCAGGGGTGCCTGTGCTAGTTTTTAATTCTTTGTCCTAACACTTAAATGTTTGCTCAAACGCCCATATTAATACTTCCTCTTAGTTTACAAAAGGATTTACTTTCTTACTGGTTGGGATGAAGCTGCCTGAGGTTGCCACCTGTTATTTTTCCTTCATTTATTGGACCATGTCATCCCATTACATGTTAGCCGTGGAGGTTTTCAAACTGTGTTCCCTGGACATGTTAGAAATGCAAATTCTCAGACCGAACCAGGACTGAATCGGAAGATCTGGGGTAGGGTCCCTCCAGGACTGAAAACGGAAGGTCTGGGGTGGGGTACCCCAGGACTGAATCGGAAGGTCTGGGGTGGGGTCCCCCCAGGACTGAATCGGAAGGTCTGGACGAGGGTCCCCCCAGGACTGAATCAGAAGATCTGGGGTAGGGTCTCCCCAGGACTGAATCGGAAGGTCTGGGGTGGGGTCCCCCCAGGACTGAATTGGAAGGTCTGGACTAGGGCCCCCCCAGGACCGAATCGGAAGGTCTGGACTAGGGTCCCCCCAGGACTGAATTGGAAGGTCTGGGGTAGCGTCCCTCCAGCTGATCCTGTTACACAGGTTAGAGAACCATGGCATTAGGGGTAGCAATTTGACAATTCTTTTTTTTTTTTTTTGAGACAGAGTCTCACTCTTGTTGCCCAGGCTGGAGTGCAGTGGCGCACTCTCGGCTCACTGCAACCTCCGTCTCCCAGGTTCAAGCAACTCTCCTGCCTCAGCCTCCTGAGTAGCTGGGATTACAGGCACCCATCATCATGCCTGGCTAATTTTTTGTATTTTTAGAGATGGGGTTTCACTATGTTGGCCAGGCTGGGACAATTCTTAAACTGTCATTCTTTACTCACTTACTTGCAGGAATTCTTATGTAAAGAACTTTCCCTAATCAACAAGGTTTCCCTGAATTGCAATTTGTAGAGAAAAGACAGGATAATTACTGATCTTCCTTCAAGTGTCCATTCCCAGTGTTAGGAGTTAGTGCCCTAGGTACCTCCAAGAGTGACCAATTACATGTGTTTGTTTGGTTTTGGCTTTGAAACCACCACTATGAATTCATGGTTTTCATGTATTAGAGACCACTTTCTAGGTGCTTGATGTGTCTACTGCTACTGGGGCAGAGGTAGAAAATGTGTCTACGGTAAAAGAACAACAAATGAGTTCACGCTTATATTTCTATTTCAAATTTAGTATACGGTTTTACACCTTTTTCTCAGAAAAATCTTGTTTTATTTTTTGAGATAGAGTTTTGTTCCTGTTGCCCAGGCTGGAGTGCAGTGGCACAATCTCGGCTCACTGCAATCTCTGCCTCCTGTTTCAAGCGATTCTCCTGCTTCAGCCTCCCCAATAGCTGGGATTACAGGCACCTGCCACCATGCCCAGCTAATTTTTCAATTTTAGTAGAGATGGCGTTTCACCATGTTGGCCAGGCTGGTCTCAAACTCCTGACCTCAGGTCATCTGCCCACCTCGGCCTCCCAAAGTGCTGGGACTTGGGAGGATTTTCCCTTGCCAGAAAAATCTTAGTTTTAGCATTAACATAATTAGTTATTTGCTTTAACTCCCACCCCACATAATTTCAAAGGATTAATACCTATAAGACGAGTAACGGAGATGATTGATTGAAATTTAGGATTCAGTGGCTCTATTTGTCTTTAGACTATGGCTCACTAAATCTGCACACTTGAAGTGCTGTGTTCTAGCGATCCTCTGATGACACATGAAGTAATAGGCTGCGTGACTGTCACCAGCCTGATGTGCAGTTGGGCTGCAGAACCCCGTGATGCTGCCTAGCCCAGCCAGCCCCAGGTCACTCCTCAGACTCAAACTCGATTCTGACACCACCAGCACCCGGGACGCTGCCTAGGGGCTTTCTCTGGTGGCAGCAGCATGTCCTGGAGCAGGCCAGGGGTGCCCGGAATTGACCATCCTGAACCTGTGCAGCGTGGGCTGGTGAAGGAACGCACCAGCTCCCACAGTGAACACGGGCCCAGCTGTCCACATGAGACCCGGCTCCCGGACGCCCCATGCTGCCGCCTCTTTCCTGTCTCACCTCCCACTTCCCTTCAGCTGCTGCTCAGGGCCACCTTCCAAATTTTTGTCTCAGGGTTGGCGCCTGTAGAATGCAATCCAAGGAATTTAGATTCATTCATTTCAGATACCATTCTTTCAATTTTAGGGACTATCTTAAAAACTTAGTTTGGTAATATGTAAAACACTTACAATTTCAAAGTCCAGATATTACTTCAGAGTCTATTTCGGTCTCACTTCCACCACTGACCCCTGTCCTCCACAGCAACCACTTTAGATTTTTATCTTTGTACTGTTTTAAGAAAAAGCAAATATATATTTGCATTATATTATATGTACTCTGCCCCTTATCAATAGGCGTTCCTCATTCCTCCTTCTGGTACGGAGTTCCCCACTGCACGAATTAATGTTCCTAATCCCTTACTGATGGACATTTTGATTGTTTCCAGTTTTACAAATGCCACAGTGAAGAACTTTGTGGCAAACACATTCAGGCTGTGAAAAGAACTCTGTGGATAAAGTCCTTTCATTTCTTTGCCAGAGTTTTTTTTGAGGCAGATTCTAGAATTGCTGAGTCTAAGGGCAAATGCCATGTCGTTTTGTTAGATGCTGCCAAATCCTCTTCCATGAGGCTGCAACGTTCTGCATTCCACAGTGACGTATGAGAGTCCTTGTACCCCACAGCTTCATAAACAAAGCATGACAGCAAACCTGCACGTTTACCCATCACACAGTTGAGAAATTTTATCTACTTTCACCTTTTTTTTTGGTTAGCATTTTTATTCCCAGCTTTTTTGTGGTATAATGCGCAGAAGGTAATGAACACATTCTACCTGCAAGCTTCTTCCTGTGCCTTTGGAATCTGCTCCTGCCAGTCTGCAGGGAACCACGGATCTGCTTTCCGTCACGTAGGAGGCATTCTCGACACCCTCTGTACACAGCATGCGCTTTATTTGGCTTCTCTTACGCAGCGTAGTGACTTTCAGATTTATTCAAGCTGCTGCGTGCGCCAACAGTCCACTCCTTCCTAGTGCTGAGGCCCCCATCACATGAGCACAACTGTTTCTTGTGTGTGATGTGTTGTCCTCTGGCTGTGCACTGCCAAAAAAGACATCATTAAAAAAAATTTAAATATAATGTAAGACCTGCCTTGTCTTAGGAAACGTTTTTCTGGCAGTGGCTCACACCTATAATCCCAATACTCTGGGAGGCTGAGGCAGGAGGACTGCTTGAGCCCAGGAGTTTGGGACCAGCCTGGGCAAGAGGGTGAAACCCTGTCTCTAAAAATTAGCCAGGCATGGTGGCTCACACCTGTAGTCTCAGCTCTTAGGGAGGCTGAGGTGGGAGGACTGCTGGAGCCCAGGAGGTGGAGGCTGCAGTGAGCCGAGATCACACCACTGCACTCCAGCCTGGGCAGCATGGCAAGACTCTGTCTCGACCAAGAAAAAAACAAAAAATTAACAGAAGGAAAAACAAAACGGCTTTCTTATCAAAAATACACTTTAAGAACAAATTTATAATATTAAGTTGCTGCAAAAGTAATTGTGCCTTTTACCATTGAAAGCAATGGCAAATACTGCAATTACTTTTGCTCCAACCTAATATTATTTTCTAATGACAAACTTGGAAATAACTGTCATTGCTCTCTAAAAAGAACAGCCTAAAAATAAAGCAGCAGCCCATTTACTTCTATGCCAGTTCTTTTAGCATTTGGTTATTTAAACCGGCAGTCCCTAACCTTTTTGGCACCAGGGACTGGTTTCACGGAAGACACTTTTTCCACTGACAAGTGTGGGGATGGTTTGGAGATGAAACGGTTCCATCTCAGATCATCAGTATTAGATTCTCATAAGCGGGGCATAACCTAGATCCTTCTCATGCGCAGTTCACAACAGGATTCCACTCCTATGAGAATCTAATGCCACCACTGATCTGACAGGAGGCGGAGCTCACACAGCAATGATATGACAGGGGCGGAGCTCACAATAATGATATGACAGGGGGCGGAGCTCACACAGTAATGATATGACAGGGGGCGGAGCTCACACAGTAATGACAGGGGGCGGAGCTCACACAGTAATGATGACAGCGGGCGGAGCTCACACAGTAATGCTCTGGCAGGGGGCGGAGCTCACACAGTAATGCTCTGGCAGGGGGCGGAGCTCACACAGTAATGATGACAGGGGGCGGAGCTCACACAGTAATGATGACAGGGGGCAGAGCTCACAGTAATGCTCTGGCAGGGGGCGGAGCTCACACAGTAATGCTCTGGCAGGGGGCGGAGCTCACACAGTAATGCTGACGGGGGTGGAGCTCACACAGTAATGCTGACAGGGGGTGGAGCTCACACAGTAATACTCTGGCAGGGGGCGGAGCTCACACAGCAATGCTCTGACAGGGGGCAGAGCTCACACAGTAATGCTCTGGCAGGGGGCGGAGCTCACACAGTAATGCCGACGGGGGTGGAGCTCACACAGTAATGCTGACAGGGGGTGGAGCTCACACAGTAATACTCTGGCAGGGGGCGGAGCTCACACAGCAATGCTCTGACGGGGCAGAGCTCACACAGTAATACTCTGGCAGGGGGCGGAGCTCACACAGTAATGCTCTGACAGGGGGCGGAGCTCACACAGTAATCTCTGGCAGGGGGCGGAGCTCACACAGTAATGCTCTGCCAGGGGGCGGAGCTCACACAGTAATGCTCTGCCAGGGGGCGGAGCTCACACAGTAATCTCTGGCAGGGGGCGGAGCTCACACAGTAATGCTCTGACAGGGGGCGGAGCTCACACAGTAATGCTCTGGCAGGGGGCGGAGCTCACACAGTAATGCTCTGGCAGGGGGTGGAGCTCACACAGTAATGCTCTGGCAGGGGGCGGAGCTCACACAGTAATGCTCACTGGCTGGCTGCTCACCTCCTACTGTGTGGCCTGGTTCCTAACAGGCCATGGACTGGAACAATCTGTGGCCTGGGGATTGGGGACCCCTGATTTAAAGAATCGAGGACACACTCACCTAGCAAACCATCTGCTAAGAAAAAAGGAGGAAAAGCACCAACATTAATTTGAACTTAGAAATAAACTACAAGGCCAGACATGGTGGTTCACACCTATAATTCCAGCACTTCGGGAGGCCAAGGAGGAACGATCACTTAAGCCCAGCAGTTTGAGACCAGCCTAGGCAACAAAGTGAGACCCTGTCCCTACAATTACAAAATAAATGAGCTGGGCGTGGTGGTGCACACCTGTAGCCCCAGCTACTTAGAAGGCTGAGTCGGGAAGATCACCTGAGCTGCCCAGGAGTTTGAGGCTGCAGTGAGCTGAGACTGCACCAACCCTGTCTCAAAAAAAAAAAAAAAAAAAAGAAACTGCAACAAAATATCTGGATTTTGATGTAACAGAATACAAAGATAATTACATTTGATTTTTAGGTCAACAAATATGACAAGTCATAACAGGAAAATATTTTAAATGGATTTGGAAATAAAAGAAAGTTTGTTCATTTATATTTTATTTAACAGCTGTGCCCAGTTTTATCTTGTCACAAGAATGAAGCAAGGGACAAAGGTAAGTGCCACGCTCCCCGGCCACTGGGTGCCAATCCCCCTTCAATGTACTCCTTCTTCCCCAGAGTGCAGAAGCGTATAAAGACAGTTATGACATTGACACATGCATGAGCTATTATACATAATTACAAAAGCTGATTCTGTCATCACCACATCTTGTCTCATCAGTAGGAGTGAATGGCTGGGGGGACAGTGGCACAGTCAGCCTCGTTCAAAGTTTTGTCAATTATGGGTCTATATTCCACAGTGACCTTGAAAAGAAGTCAGTGGTAAGTTAAGCACAAAAATGTACAAAAAGCCATCTCTTGTGTTCCTTTTGAAAAATTTTAACTATAAAAGTAGATTTACGGCATGTGAACTTTAAGGTATTTGCTGCAGTATTTTCCAATAACAAATTCAAAAATGATCTACATGCGCAACAGGGGACTGTAAATGACGGCAGATCGGTAGAGTGGAACAGAGCAACGAAAATGACACTGTACCAGATTCTCAGTGCTTTGCTTTACAAAAATGCTCCCATCATGAAAAGTGGGAGAACCCTTGTCTATACCAAGACACTTCATGTTTAAACTATCTACTTCCAGTTTTTCTACTTCAAAGTAAATATTTATATAGGTAGAACATCCCTAATCCAAACATCTGAAATTCTCCCAAATCTGAAACTTTCTGAGCACCAGCATGACATTCAAAAGAAATGTGCTATGGAGTCAGATCTTCCGATTAAGGATGCTCAGACAGTAAGTGTAATGCAAATATTCCAAAGTCTGAACAAGCCTGAAATCCAAAACACTTCTGGTCCCAAGGATTTCAGAGAAGGAATACTCAAGCCGTGTATTAAATATGCACACACAGGAAAAGGTAGGCACATATACAAAGAAATTTAAACCATAATGGGTCATCTCTGGTTAGTGAGCTCTTATTTCAATCTCTTTGTACTTTCTAAAATGAGTATGTATTTCTTCAAAAATCACTGAAACTGGCTGGGCGTGTTGGTTCATGCCTGTTGGGGAGGCCAAGACAGGTGGATCACTTGAGCTCAGGAGCTCAAGACTAGCCTGGGCAACGTGGCAAAACCCCGTCTCTACAAAACATACAAAAATTAGCCAGGCATGGTGGCATGTGCCCGGGAGGCTGAGGTGGGAGGATCACCTGAGCCGAGGGGAGGTTGAGGCTGCAGTGAGATGAGATCGAGCCACCACATTTCAGCCTGGGCAAAAGAGATGAGACTCTATCTCAGAACAACAAAAACAAAACAAAAAACCTGAACCCGGAAACATTAAAAATAGACTTGTGCTAAGCGAGTGAAGTGTGACCTCTCTATACTATCAGGAAATGGCCTTCATGATAAATTCTGAAAATGACCCACTGCCTGAATCACAGACACACTAGATGATAGTGAGAGTCCAAAGGTAACTTCCACAGACACAGCTAAGTGATTATACGACTCTCCCTTACAAGTTATGAAAAGCTTAAGGGTAAAAGCTTTCTATCTTCATGATTTCTGAATCTCAATGCCCAGTGGAAATGCCACACAGGTGAACTGTGCTTGTGTGGAACAAGCTGCAACCCCCTACCACACCCTCGGCTGGCTGTTCCCAAGACGCTGTGCTTGTGTGGAACAAGCTGCAACCCCCCTACCACACCCTCGGCTGGCTGTTCCCAGGACGCTGCTTACCCCAACCCTGCCTCCATTTCTGCCCTTCTCTGCTTGCTCAGTGCCCAGGGGATGCTAAGGGCTGCACCACATCCCCTCTGCTCCCCTGCAGATGCTTCCAGTTGGCCCAGCCCATGGGAAGAGAGGGGAGGGGTCTCTTCTGGGCTCCCTTGGCTCGGGACTGGTTTCTGGTAGTGGCTCTGTCCCCACCACACAGATGCTGACTTTCTCGCTAGGTCCACAATCATCATCTCCTCCCCTGCCACCAGGCCTTGGACACTTGCTCCTGCCCAGTGACTTCCATCTGGCCCACACCACAGAGCAACCCTTCCTTAAGGCTCCTCTGAACCACCTGCAGGCACTGGATTCTGTTTCCAGCCCGAAGCCCGACTGCTGTCAGAGTGCCTTTTTCAGCGGTGCCTCAAATCTGTCGGGAGTTGATTTAAATCTGGCCTGCTCCTCCGCGTTCACCATCAGCAAGGCCAGCCCGCAGACCTGGGCGGGGCCGTGTGGGTGCTGGGCTGTGGTGAGAACGAGCTCCACACTGACCTTCCCAGTGCCGACGTCCACATAGGACAGGGTGTGCTTCCTCCAGTGCACCTCAAAGGGCTTCTTCTGTTGCCCCTGGATGGGCTTGGAGTGATCATACTCATCAATCTGCACCTGAGGCCAGAAACACCATCACATTTCTCATTACTCTAACAGAGCAATACAGAAAAAACACAGCAAACATTAAAATGATCTAAGAGACAGATGCCCTAGAACCCATTCCATTTCCACTTCAGCCCAGGAGGTTGGCACCATCAACACGTTCAGAACCCACAGAGGCCACATGGCTGGCCAGCGATGTGCAGCCAGCAGTGAGTCCAGAGTAATCCATGTCCGCATGTTCCCTTAGACATCCTTTATGTACCTAAGAGTTTATCAAATACTTTGTCTTTTTGCTCCAAGCGCTGGGAGACTACCTCCATCTTTTCTTTCAGCCTGTTTTTATTAAAAACACTTTTTTTCTCTTTTGAGACAGGGTCTCGCTATGTCACCTGGGCTGGAGCGCAATGGTGTGATCACAGCTCGCCAGAGCCTTGACTTCCCGGGCTCAATCAATCATCCTGCCTCAGCCTCCTGAGCAGCTGGTACCTCAGGTGTGTACCACCACGCCTGGCTAATTTTTTAATTTTTGTAGAGACAGGTTTCGCCATGTTGCCCAGGCTGGTCTAGAACTCCGGGGCTCAAGTGATCTGCCTGCCTCAGCCTCCCAAATGCTGGGATTACAGGTGGGAGCCACTGCACCTGGCTTCTATTCTAATTAAAACTCGTTGTCACCAACTAAATTTATGCTCCTGGCCAGGCACAGTGGCTCATGCCTGTAATCCTAGCACTTTGGAAGGCCAAGGTGGGTGGTTCACTTGAGGTCGGGAGTTCGAGACTAGCCTGGCCAACATGGTGAAACCCCGTCTTTACTGAAAATACAAAATTAGCCGGGCACGGTGGCATGCGCCTGTAACCCCAGCTGCTTGGGAGGCTGAGGCAGGAGAATCACTTGAACCTGGGAGGCAGAGGTTGCAGTGAGCTGAGATCGCGCCGCTGCACTCCAGCCTGGGGGACAATGAGACTCCATCTCAAAAAATTAAAAATAATAAATTTATTATTATTCTGTATTCTGGCAAACACGGATTCATATACTTTGCAGGAAAGACTCTTAATATGTATGAGGAGACGAGCAAATTCTGAGCAGTGATCACAGCCATCAGCATATTCTAGTGGAGGGTAAATCAGTAAAATTTCATGGTGAATAAAAATGATTTTCCCATTCACTGTGTTCAGCTGACTGGAAAGGCTGCCACCAGCCGCCCACACATGGCCCTGAACCAGCCTGTGCGCCTGCCTTGTGGAGCCTTTGTCCTTTTGCCGATGTGGTTTATCCTGAACTTGCATTTGCACCCCAAGCTTCCCTTTCCGTCGTTTTTTGCTATCATATGTGAAAAACTCTTACCAGGCAGAATCCAACACGTGTGCTCTGCACAAAAATCAGTTCATCTGAAGAACAAGTGACCACAGGGCAGTCTCCGTAATCAAACCACAGGACAGGCTCTATAATACCTTTTCCAAACCACAGGACAGGTTGGAAACAGTGGCTTACTCGTTATTTAGTAAACTGGCATTTCCTCCACAAGGCAGGTCTGAAACGGTGACTTACTTGTTATTTAATAAACTGGCATTTCCTCCACAGGGCAGGCTTGAAACGGTGGCTTACTCGTTATTTAATAAACTGGCATTTCCTCCACAGGGCAGGCTTGAAACGGTGGCTTACTCGTTATTTAATAAACTGGCATTTCCTCCACAGGGCAGGCTTGAAACGGTGGCTTACTCGTTATTTAATAAACTGGCATTTCCTCCATAGGGCAGGCTTGAAACGGTGGCTTACTCGTTATTTAATAAACTGGCATTTATTTCCTGGTCATGCCACGCTGGCTGCACTTCTAACCTTGGCCTTCTAACAGCAAAGCACATTGGCTTGGAGATGCCACTGCTGGCATCAGTGGATGCCGACCCAAAGCAAGGAACAGGTCACAGTGATCCAGAAAATGGCGAGAACCCAGGGATCAAAGTTACCAGAGGGAAAAAGGCATTTTTTGGATATACTTTTGGGGAAACGACATAAAATGCAGAGAAAATGCAGGGGTGGGGCTGAGTCCCACCAGGCGGGAGGAAAAGGCAGGTGCAGGTGGGCGTGGCGAGAAGGCGCACCTTGTAGTCTTCCCCGGCGTGCGCGCCCCGTGACTCCTTCCCCGCCTCTGCTCCATTGACGGTCTGCAGCGCACATAGCATCAGGTTCTGCAGCTCCAGGGTCTCCACCAGGTCCGTGTTCCAGACCATTCCTGGGGACACAAAAAGTTCCATCAGGGGCAGGTGGGACCCAGTCACACGGGCCCTCCGAGCTGTCAGCCTGGGCCTGCTAGTCCATGGAGTCACTGGTTGTGGCTTTACAGCTGGGGGCCAGCACCCATCCAGACAGCAAGCATGGAACTAAGTCAGCACTGACGGGACAGACACCAGCCCACCCTGCAGAAGGCAGGGCCCAACAGTGTGCACAGAGCCCACTGTCTGCTCACCCCGGTCAAACGTCTTCAGATGCTTCAGGTCTCCATAGAGCTTGCTGATTTTCCCACAACCTTCTTGCAACAAGCTTCCCACACGGAACACGGCAGCATGATTTTGCGTTGACTGTGGCACAAAATATTATTTGTAAACTTTTAATTCATAGAAGCAGCCATACCAAGAACTGCTTAACTTTTAGACCTGTTGTTTTGCATTTCATTTTATTTATGTAAATTAAACAGAAAAATTAGGAAATTTAGACTATGAGTTTATTACTCTGAACTTAAAAATGAAGTCTTGACTAAAGCTTCTGAATAAATGTTTCTATTATATACATATCTTAGACCCACACACATCCTTTCCAGCGGGATACAGCCAGGGTCCAGGACGCCAAGCAGACTGCCTGTGAGGCACCACGTTCCATACGGCTCCACGGCCAACCAGGCAGCACTGCCTCCCCACACCCCTGGCGGGACTCCTGATGTGGGGTCTGGTGGTGAACGTGACACGAGCCAGCAGCCCTGTGGTGATACACACAAGGAGGAACTGAGCAGAGCCCTGCTGATGGTGGGGTTGGAACCGAAGGTCTTCAAGGAGAGGGAGGGGCGTGGGTGGCTGGGGCCCTTGGCCCATCTGGCTACTGTCTTCTGCCTATTTTGTAGAAGCTCCTTGTACACTGAGTTCCTTCATAGTTTTACTATCACGAGAAACGTGCTAGGAGTGGACCTGAAGTTTACTTAGGTATGCTGGGAACTGGGCATCAGCTTTTGCTTCCTGTGGGACACACAGGCACCACCTCCGTGATCCCTCCTCCTCCTTGCTTCTCCCTCTAACTGTGCTTTGCTCCACTGACCCTAATTGTCTCTTCCTCTACCAATGCACCTTCGTGGTTCAATTTGGACATTTCATCTGATTTTCCTTAGACTCATACATAATCGTAACACTGTAATGCACATCAACCTAATGGTTTTTCAGGAAGAACAAATGAAAAAAATTGCATCTCAGAATCTAGTATTACATTCTTTCATGTCCTTTAGCAGCGACGTTTTCATATCATCTTTTCGTATTTCTGGTTACATTATTTCAAGGCATTTTAAATTTTTTGTTTGAAATGCGAATGAGATATTTACTGATGTCTGAGCAGATTACTGCTGGCACATTGCAAAGCTACTGATTTTTACATACAAATCTCTTATACACATACCTTACTACATTCTTGTTTTGTTTCTGTTAGTTTTTCCGTTTATTCTCTGGAAATTTTTTGGAAATTATATCTGTAAATAATGGCAACTGTATCTATTCCTTTTCAATATTTACTGCCAAGACCAGCTGGGTCATGGAAACCCTAACCCAGTGGCACTAGAGGAAGTAAAGACACACACACAGAAATATAGAGTGTGGAGTGGGAAATCAGGGGTCTCACAGCCTTCAGAGCCAAAAGCCTCAAACAGAGATTTACCCACGTATTTATTGACAGCAAGCCAGTGATAAGACTTACTGAAAGTATTCCTTACAGGAAATAAAGGGATGGGTCTGGCTAGTTATCTGCAGCAGGAGCATGTCCTTAAGGCACAGAGCGCTCATGCTATTGTTTGTGGTTTAAGAAGGTCTTAAGAGGTTTTCCACTCTGGGTGGGCCAGGTGTTCCTTGCCCTCATTACGGTAAACCCATAACCTTCCTGCGTGGTCGTCCTGGCCATCACGAGCACGTCACATGCTGCAGAGATTTTGTTTATGGCCAGTTTTGGGGCCAGTTTATGGCCACATTTGGGGGCCTGTTTCTATCAATTTACCTCATTTCTTTTTTTGATTGTTACTATTAATAGCCAGAGTCAGCAGAAAAATCCCTTCCCCCAACGAAATGCATTTCCGCAAGCATAGGAAGCTCTGTTTGTTCAGTGCTGACTCCGGCACCTCACGGAGCCTGGGATACAGCAGGCACCAAGACACACCTTGTTTGGTGGGAACACTTCTAGTATTCTCACTTCAAACTATCTCAGATTTGCCATTTCTATATCCTAAGGCATGTTCCCATTCTCTAACGCAAGGGTTCCTTCTTTCCCAGCTGGCCTCCAACCCTACAAAAGCACTGCAGGGCATCACTCAGCCTTCTGTGCCTTAGTCACGCTGTTCTTCTCACCGTTCCACAAAACCTCCCTCAAGCCCAGCCTCACCTGAAGACCGAAGGGCACGGGCCTCTGAAAATTGTCAGCAGGGAACCTGTTCTCTTGTGTCTAACACCAAATGCCTTTCAGAATAGGACTAAAGCAGTGGACTTCTTTCTAGAAAATACGCAGAAATTCTTGCAAATAGCAGACAAGAGATCTCATTCATGGACAAGAATCCTTGTTATTAGAGGAATTGAGTTTCTTAGACTGACTATATATCAGGTTCTCCACGGCCCCATGGCTAATGGCTGCCATACTGGACGGCAAACACTCAACATTTCCATCATCACAGACGGTCCTACTGGACCGACTCCCAGCAGCACAGGCCGCACAGATCACTGTCCACCTGCCGCCCACTCTCCCTCTCTGCTGAGTATATTTAGGGGCAGCAACAGGTCTAGCTTAAAGACGTTTCCGAGCTGCTGGAAGCCAGGCATGATGACATGATCAATATCTGGGCCTGAGATGTAAGCACCAGTGTTGTGTTGAACTCCAGGAAACCTCTAAGAGAAAGCTGCCCTGCTGGGGACGGAGCTTCTCCGGCAGTCCTGCGGCTCCCTCTCCTCCACACTGTGACTCATCCATGACAGCCAGCGACGGTCAGGGCACGGAGGTCATGCCCAAGCACACACGAGTGAACCACAGAAGGCTGTCCTGGATGCTAAGCAGTCACTAATTCTGCCCTGGCCTGCTGACCTTCTATGTGGAGAAGAAGTGCACTTCTGGTCTCTTTCATATTCTTGATACAGTGAGGAGTATGTCCTACTGCTGTTTACCTCCACATACTGGTGCAGCCTCGTATGTTTATTGCAGCACTAGTCACAATAGCAAAGTCATGGAATCAACCTAAGTGCCCATCAACGGACGACCGGATAAAGAAAATGTGGTACATATATACCATGAAATACTACTTGGCCATAAAAAAAGAATGCAATCATGTCTTCTGCAGCCAGACGGATGGAATGGGAGGTCACTATCCTAAGTGAGTCAGAAGGTCAAGTGTCACACATTCTCCCTTGGAAGTGGGAGCTGAACGGTGAGTACACATGGACACACGGAGTGGACTAACAGACTGTGGGCTCCAAAAAGCGGGAGGGGTGGGGATGAGCAATTACCTGCTGAGTACAACACACACGACTTGGGTGACAGGTACATGAAAAGCCCAGACTCCACCACCTCCCAGTACATCCACACAAAGCTGCACCTGCATCCCCCTAGATCTGTTTTTAAAAAAACAAAACCAGTGCAGGGCCAGGTATGCAGCCAGCCTGCTCACTCCAGAGCGAGTCCAGGCTCTTACCTTCTGCATGCTGAGTCGCAGTTCCGATGTTCTTATGCTTCTTCCATCAGCAAATCTCAATTTGTCAAGATTCGTGACAGATTCTTCCCCAGCATTTGGTTTAATTGGAGGGACTTTATCTCCTAAAACAACAACAAAAAGAGCTAGAATTTAACTTTTGAAAACCGTTTTAAAAAAACAAATGGATTTAGTACTACACACAAAAATGTAGCATAGCCGCTCAAGGAGCCTGGAAACGGTGTAAGTCTCCTGAGCTAACACACTGCCAACCCACCCTACATCTGAGGCCATCTGTTGAGTTGGGGCCAATTTTAAAGAACAGACATAAAAGGCAAAACTGTTGGCACACAGTAGATATCCATTAAGTGATCTTAGAGTGAATAAACTAGAAATCATCTCTAAAATTAAAAAATTAAAATGTAGGCCAGGTGCAGTGGCTCACGCCTGTAATCCCAGCACTTTAGGAGGCTGAGGTAGGTGAAGCACTTGAGGTCAGGAGTTCAAGAGCAGCCTGGCCAACGTGGCAAAACCTCATTTCTACTAAAAACACAAAAATTATCTGGCATGAGAACTGCTTTAACCCGAAAGGTGGAGGTTGCAGTGAGCCGAGATCGCGCCACTGCACTCCAGCCTGGGCAACAGAGCGAGACCCTGTCTTACAAAAAAAAAAAATTAAATGTATACAGATTTATATACATTAAGTGTATATAAATGTCACTCCACTAACGGGAAAAAATGACACCTTCCAGATGGTGGTCCCAAGGGGCCGGCCGCCCCACTGTCCTTCACATTAGGGGGAGGAAGGTGGCTGCTGTGTGCTTGCAAGTCACCTGCTGATTTGGACTGTTGTGTGCTCTCACCTATACTTCAAGATTTGCAATTTTTTTTTTTTTTTTTTGAGATGGAATTTTGCTCTGTAGCCCAGGCTGGAGTGCAGTGGCACCATCTCGGCTCACTGCAACCTCCACCTCCTGGTTCAAGCAATCCTCCTGCCTCAGACTCTGGAGTAGATGGGACTACAGGAGTTTGCAACCATACCTGGCTAATTTTTGTATTTTCAGTAGAGATGGGGTTTCACCATGTTGGCCAGGCTGGTCTCGAACTCCTGACCTCAGGTGAGCCACCTGCCTCAGCCTCCCAAAGTGCTGGGATCACATGTGTGAGCTGCTGCGCACGGCCAAGATTTGCAACTCTTGTGTTTCCAAGATGTCTTGAAAAAAGTTTTAAAGGTTTTTTTTTTTTATAAAATTATATGTATTTTTTCTTCAATAGGTAACACATGCAGGAGATAGGAGGTATGAAATGCAGGAGTCAAACAGGCCCTGTCCCGCCTACCGCCTCTCCTCGGGACCAGGCTGTGGGTCTCTTGACGGTCTGCTCAAATGCTTCTAGGCTTGCTGGTGTCTCTTTTCCTTTTGTTTATAACGCTTTAAAAATTGATCATCCATTAAAATTGACTTTTTTCTTTCGGTGGACAGTTCTACAGTTTCTTTTTTCTTTTTTTTTTTTGAGACAGTGTCTCCTCCCTCTGTTGCCCAGGCTGGAGTGCAGTGGTGTGATCTCGGCTCACAGCAACCTCCGCCTTCTAGGCTCCAACAATCCTCCCACCTCAGCCTCCCAAGTAGCTGGGACTACCCAAGTGTGAGCCACCATGCCCAGCTAATTTTTGTATTTCTGGTAGAGACGGGGTTTCACCACCTTGCCCAAGCTGGTCTCGAACTCCTGAGCTCAAGCAATCGGCCTGCCTTGGCCTCCCAAAGTGGTGGGATTATAGGTGTGAGCCACTGCACCCGGCCTCAGTTCTACCGATTTTAACACATGGATAGATGCATGTAACCACTTTGGGAGGCTGAGACAGGAGGATCACTTGAGGTCAGGAGTTCAAGACCACCCTGGGCAACACAGGGAGACCCTGTCCCTAGAATACATTTTTAAAAATTAGCCAGATGTGGTGGCGTGCACCTGATCGTACCACTGCACTCAAGCCTGGGTGACAGAGGGAGACTATGTCTAAAAATACACATATATATATTTTTGGGGGGGTCGGGGGTTGGGGGAGAAGTAGGGATGCTACAAGCATTTTTTCTTTCCTTTTCATTTTTAAAAATTAAAGCGTAAAGATACAGTAAAATAAACTCATCATTTTTAATGTAGGTTTTTCAAACTTTGACACACACAGAGCTGTGTCTGTAAGCCTCAGCACAATCAGGAAACAGCCTCTGGCAACCACCAATCCCTTTTCTTCCCTAGATGTGCCTTGTCCAGAATGTCCTATCAACAGGACCACAGGCGTGCAGCCTTTTGAGTCCGACTCCACAGCATTCTGCGTGAGATGCTGCATGTGTGAGCGGTTTCTCAGATGTCAAGTATAGGGTATTCTCACAAAATGTTCTTTTCTGCATTTTCAAAGAAAGAGAAGCTCAAAATTTCTACACTGCTCTGAGAGAAGTGGTATCAGACCTCACTGCGACAAAGTGCAGGGCTATGGAGTGAGACAAGCACAACCTGTGGCGTCAGGAGCGAGGCACCTGAACTCCGCCTTCGCCGATGATCAGCAACGGCTGGGGATGAGACGCCGGCTCTGCATGTGCTGGCCTCCTGAGCTGTCGTCAGATCCACAGAGACACAGTGTCTGAAGTAGCTACCCTTTTAATACTGCCTGTACCTTTCTAACTACAGATAGAAAAGGGTCATGTTTATAAGGTACGGCGGTGCTAGTTTTTATTTCACTTGAGTCCATACAAAAAGCAAAAAGCGCCTGTTCTATAAAAACAGCAGAAATGATGCTAAACAGTTAACACCAGAGAAAGCTAACGGGAAGAACGTGGGCCTGGGGTCCCACCATCCTTGCCACGCAAACATCCACCAGTGCCTCATCCACCTCACACTGTTCTGAGCACACGAGGCTGCATGACCACCGTGAGGATCTCTGGAGGTGGGAACGATGCTAACTGTCCTGTTCTTCGTGCACATAAGACTCACACTCCCACACACGGTATTCCTTTTCCTGCACATTATTTGACGCTATCCTGAAAAGAAAACCAGCAAGTGAAATCGAATCTGTCCGTAGAGGGTGGGAATCCTGTTCACTCTAAGTCAGCCCTTCTCCTCTAATAGAGGTTAGTTGTACTTTTAGAATGGCCTAAATTATTTTTCTAAGTACCAAGAAGTTACATATTCATTCATGCCAACTATTTTAAATATTTCATTGCAAATAAGTGATTTTTATCAGGCAAGTAATACGTAATGAACTTCCCCTAAAAATAACAGCTTCCTAATAGTGCTTTTTCTAAACAGAAAATAATGACTGCAAAATAATTTAAAAAAAAAAAATGTAACCCCAAAAATGTCACCTTAACTGTTAAGATCCCCAACCAGCCTCTATCTAGTCTCAACATTACCACCATATAATCTCTGGATTTCTCAGTTTAATCACTTCTAGGGGAAAAAACCCAGACTACCTCTATATGCTCACTACGCAAATTTCCAGTAAGAAATCAAGGCTTTGTAACCTGGCTGGGTGCAGTGGCTCATGCCTGTAATCCCAATACTTTGGAAAGCTGAGGCAGAAGACTGTTTGAGTCTAGGAGTTCAAGACCAGCCTGGGCAATATTGTGAGACCCTGTCTCTACCAAAAAAAATTTTTTTAAATTAGCCAGGTGTGGTGGTGCACATCTGTAGTCCCAGCTACTTGGGACTCTGAAGGTTGAGGTGTTGAGGACTGCTTGAGCTCGGGAGGTTGAGGCTGCTATGACTGTGCCACTGCACTCCAGCCTGGGCTGACCCTGTCTCAAAAAAAAAGAAAAAAGACTAACCTCCTGCGCCTTCTCAAATAGTCTGGGTCCTGAAGAAAACACTTACCAGGCCTGCACGACTCTGCGATGCTCAGGGCACATGCCTGACCAGACAACCAGGTCCAACAGCGAGTTTGCCCCGAGGCGGTTGACACCATGTGCAGAGGCACAGGCGGCCTCCCCACAGGCGTACAGGCTGGGCACAATCTGATCCTGGCCATTCCCGTGCCTCAGGACCTGTGGAAAGGAAGATTTCAGGTGAAATGTCAAGATGCCCATTCCTCCACAAGCCCACCTCCCTCAACAGGGTGTCTGTGCTGCAGGTCAGAGAAAGAGAGGGAAGTAGGTCGGGCATGCAGTGGCTCACGCTTGTAATCCCAGCACTTTGGGAGGCTGAGGCGGGTGGATCACCTGAGTTCAGGGGTTCGAGACCTGTCTGGCTAACATGGTGAAACCCCGTCTCAACTAAAAATATAAAAATTAGCCAGGCATGATGGCAGGTGCCTGTAATCCCAGCTACTCGGGAGGCTGAGGCAGAAGAATCGCTTGAACCTGGGAGGCGGAGGTTGCAGTGAGCCGAGATCGCGCCATTGCACTCCAGCCTAAGCGACAGAGCGAGTCTCCATCTCCAAGAAACAAAGAGAGGGAAGTAAAGACCATATCTAAGAAGGAAGTAAGGACCATAGCTACTCTTCTTCAGAAGGAAACTTCCGAATGTATACCCCAGTTTCCCCTCTGCCCCTGAGCACCTGCTGTTACAAGCAGGTCAGAGGGCCTCCAATGTCAGCATCTGCGACTGTCCCCCGTGTCCCATGTTCCCGAGGCCCTCACCACCTGTGCTCCAGCTCAGACCCAGGAGCACGGCAGGTGGAGGAACATCAGCAGGGGAGACTGATGTTCCAGACTCTTCTACCCCCTGTTCACCTCTTCATCTATGCGGGGAAAGTAACAGCTTCCACCCACCTCGCCCAACAAGGAGGCTAAGTGACTGACAAGCTCTGTGTGAACCGCAAACCACTCACAGGTATGAATTATAAAGATCCTTCGATGTACAAGATCATTAGAAATAGGAATTATAAAGATCCCTTGATGTATAAGCTCATTAGAAATAACACAAGATCATATAGGAAAGTAATTATAAAATGGGAAAAGCTGCAAATGATGTATCTATGACAGTTTACTAAGGAGGAATAAATTATTAAGCCTCCTTCCATCCTCCAGTGATAGAAATTTCAAGTGCAATTTAGCAAACAATACAGTACTTTCTGGAAGGAAACATCTGTCTCTTCCTCTAAGATCTAAAGAGACAACTGCGAGATGGGCCCCATTGTCCCAGCCTTCTTTCCAGCTGTGGGAGAGAAGCCAGCACCATCACCTGCCCCTCGTAGCTGGTGGGAATGCCGTCCATGTTATAATGCACGGTGGGGAGGACAGGGATCGGCTCCTTCGTGACGTCCACACCAGCGAAGATCATGGCTGTCTCTGAAATGCCGGGCAAGGGCATGGCCAGCTGCTCTGGAGGTAGGTGGTGCAGCTGCAGGTAGACGTGATCTTTCTCAGGGCCACAGCCTCTGGTAAGACAGAACACCATCACATAAGGCAGAGAATGGCAACGGCAGCAGACCTGAGAATACGTCATCTTGGAAGCGTGTGAGTTTCAACATGTTTTGATACTGAGGAAAATTTCCCCTCATGTACGGCCACCCTCTCATCAAATCTTTTCTAAGCATCTACTGTATGCCAGGGACAATCCCAGGTGCTGGGACACAGCTGAGAACCAGAACAAAAACTCTGCCCTTACTGAACTCACACTCGTCTCAGGGATCACAGCCTGCAGCGGCTGTCCTTGGTAAAAGCATTAGGCCTCTATGCCAAATAGTCGTCCCTGCGTATCCGTGGCAGGTTGGGTCCAGGACCCCCACGGACACCAAAATCCGTGGATGCTCAAGTCCCTAATATAAAATGGCAGAGTATTTGCATATAACCTATGCACATCCTCCTCCATATTTTAAATCATCCTCATTTCAAGTTTTACATTTAAGTTGTACAGCAACTCCAGGATTACTCATAGTACCTAATACAATGTAAATGCTAGGTAAATAGCTGCTACACTGTGTTGCTTAGCGAACAATGACAAGGAAAAAAAAAAGTCTGCGTGTTTGTAAGGATGCAATTTTATTTTCAGTACATAGTTGGTTGAAACCACACATGTGGAACCGATGGATACGGAGGGCCACCATATTACAAGAAACCATCCGACTTCTTTTTTTTTTAATATAAAAATGTAAAACCTCTAAAGGCCACACCAGATACCAGCAGATATTTAGCAAGTGTTATCACATTAAAGAACAGGGTCAGGCAATGAAAGAGCTGCAAACTGTTCTTCTGAAAGGCAAATGACCCACACACTTTGAAAGCTGCCGAAAAACATCTGTGGGTATCAGACACCACACCCAAGGCTCACACGCCGACTTCAGGTTGGGTGCGTGTCTCTCTCTCCCATACTCCGTCACATACTCACACACACTAAGAGAAACTCTGTTCCACAGATTTGAGAAAGAAACTGGCTAAAATTTTCAAAATGTAGGTCTTTAGGAAAATATCGCAGACTAACAGACGCCTGCCGGCAGCTGAGAGAGGTGGCTGTGCACATGTGCCTGCACACGAAGGTGAGGGCGAGCGGTGCTGAAACTCACAGAAGCAACCCCGGCCCGTGTGCCCGCTCAGACAGTGCTGGTGGTAAACCACACGCACCTTCCTTCGCGGATCTCCAGAGTCATCCACCGAGACACCACATCTCTAGACGCCAGGTCCTTCGCGATGGGGGCGTATCGCTCCATAAACCTTTCGCCTTGACTGTTAATGAGAATGCCTCCCTCTCCACGACATCCTTCCGTAATGAGACAACCAGCACCATATGTGCCTGCAAAAAACCACACATTTATAACCTAACAATTGCTAGGTCTCTATTTCAAATGCATTACTTTTTTTTACAAGATATTTTTTGGGGGAGAGACAAAAAAGATATGCAGAAGGCATTATATGCAAAACTGAACAGAAAGAACAGTTAAGATACAGTAGAAAGTCTGGATAACAAAAAGCACTGACAAGGCTGACAGCTGCAGCAGAGGCTGGGGCAGAGTGGCGTCCCCAGAGAGGAGAAAGGCCGGCCCACAGACCTCTGGCCAATACTCTGATTACAGCCCGGTGTACGTTGGATGCCTCAAATTTTGTTTTAATTTTTGAACATTCTTTTGCACTATGATACTGTGGTGACTAGTTAAGAATACTAGCTTGGAGAATTCATATCTAAGTTACCCAAACAGTGGCAAGAACAGTAATAATGATTATTTTAGTTCATCTTTACACTGCACTTGCTATGGGCAGTTCTAGCTGCTTTCCACATATTAAACTCATTTAAGTCTTACAACAACTCTGGGTAGTATGACCCCCTTTCTCAGTGACAAGCAAATTAACGCTTGGTAACATCCAGTCATGCAGCTGAGGACAGAGCTCAAACCCAAACCTGGGCAGTCCGGCGGTCTGTGCCCCAAACAGCGGCTCTGTGACTCCTCAGTGCGATGAGAAACAGGGCGTGCCAAGCTCTCGAATTTTAACAAAGGAGATCAAAAACCCTAAACTAAATGTATTTCAAAAGCTACAATTTTTATTAGTATACAAAAAGGGCAATCTTGCTTTCAAGACAAGAATGTGATTCTTGCATCTCACCTGCCTTTTGATTTTCTAAGTTTCCATGCTCTTTTTTCTGTGGTTACTTCTCACATATTGAAGACAAAGCATGAGAAGTGGAGCTCTAAGCAAATTACAGAGGGAATTCAGGGGCTCACTGACATTTTGCTGATTAAAAACAGTAATAAAAAATACAACAGGCCGGGTGCAGTGGCTCATGGCTATAATGCCAGCACCCTGAGGGGCCGAGGCAGGAGGATCGCCTAAGCCCTGGCGTTTGAGACCAGCCTGGGCTTAAAATGGTGACACCCTGTCTCTACCAAAAACAAAAAAACCCTCAAAAATTAGCTGGGCATGGTAACACATGCCTGTAGTCCCAGCTATTTGGGAGGCTGAGGTGCAAGGATCGTTTGAGCCTGGGAGACAAAGGCTGCAGTGAGTCAAGATTGCTCCACTGCACTCCAGCCTGGGCAACAGAGCAAGACCCCATCTCTAAACAAATTAAAAAAAAAACCTACAACAAATCCATTTCTTATTTTCATCCCTTCCAGGGATCAGAAAGCTGACACTGACAGAGAAAGAGAAGACACAGGTCTGGTTCTTTGGCACCACTTCAGGGGTCTCCATCGTCCACAGGTCAGAAAAGCAACCCAGAAAAGTCCAGGACGAGTCACCTCAAACAAGAGGCAGACGTGTGTGTGTCTGTCTCTGACTCATTTTGAAGAACCTCCTCCAAACTCAAGACTTCAACTGTCATTTCTGAGTTAATGTCTCCAAATTGCACATTCGTAACCTCAACCGTCAGACGTCCCCAAGACGAGCTCATCTTCCCCACGACAAGCTCCCTCAGTGGTCACGTGGGCTGAGCCCAGCGCCCAACGTCACATGGGGTTCTCTCATGGCTGTGTCTTAACTTTACATCCCATTGTCACGGAAGCTCTGTGTTGTCCTACAAAGCTGAAATCTGCCTGTGCTGCTTCTTGGTTCCACGGCATTCACCCAGCTCTCAGAATGCTCACTCAGTAAACCCCGATGGAGACCCTACCATGTGCTGGGCGTGGAGCACCCCAGTTAATGAGAAGACCTGCCTGCCCGAGTTGCTGACAACCTCACTGCAAAGAGGGACACTGAACAATTCCTGCTTTACTTTTTTTTTTTTTTTTTTTGAGACGAAGTCTTACTCTGTTGCCCAGGCTGGAGCGCAGTGGTGCGATCTCGGCTCACTGCAACCTCTGCCTCCCAGGTTCAAGCATTCCTCCCGCCTCAGCCTCCCAAGTAGCTGGGATCACAGGTGCATGCCACCATGCCCAGCTGATTTTTTTATGTTTAGTAGAGATGAGGTTTCACCATGTTGTGCAGGCTGGTCTTGAACTCCTGACCTCAGGTGATCCACCTGCCTTGGCCTCCCAAAGTGCTGGGATTACAGGTGTGAGCCACCATGCCCGGCCTCAATCCCTGCTTTACTGCTGGCATAAGTATCACCAAGGCAGGGTTTAGGGCTCTTGAGAAATGCATAAGATGGTGGCCCAAACTGCCTTAGGGGAAGGGGAGTGTGGGAAAAGTCTCCTTAAGGAAATGACATTGAAGTTAGGACCTGAGAGCTATGGAAGCTGATCTTCAAAACCATGTTATTACATAAAACTATGGAAGAGCAATGAGTAGGCACCACACGCTTACAAGACACACGAGCCGAACGCCTTCCGGGCAAGGCGTCCTGCCCTACCTGTGGGGTGGAACTGAACAAACTCGAGGTCCTGGCAAGGAAGGCCTGCCCTGGTGATCATGGCCGTGCCGTCG